>NT_187519.1:607772-759715 GCF_000001405.40 Homo sapiens
AAACCTACACAGTCAGGATCATCAGTATCACTGTCTTCCACCTCCACATCCTGTCCCACTGTAAGGTCTTTCGGAGCAGGCATCGAGTAGTCATCTCCTACGCTAACAATGCCTTCTTTTGGAATATCACCTGAAGGACCCACCTGATGCTGTTTTACAGTTACCTATTTTTTTTTAAATAAGTGAAAGTAATACACTTTAAGAAACAATGAAAAGTACAATATATAAAATAAAGAAGTAACACAGTCATGTACTATCACAATCAAGTATTATGTATCTAACTGCATGTGCTATGTTTCTACACAACCGGCAGCACAGGTTTGCTTACACCAGCATCACCAAAACATGTGAGTAATGCACTGCAGTATGACTTACAACATTTACATCACTAGGCAATATGAATTTTTCAGCTACATTATAATCTTATGGTATTGTCATATACATGGCCCACTGTTGACAGAAACTTATTATATAGCACGTGACACATAACAAATAGGAGAAAGATGTGTGACCTGGGGTACACAAACATTTCTTGGACAGTACACAAAAAAAGTGAAAACCATAAAAGGCAAGAATTGATAAATAAGACATCAAAATTAAAAACGTCTGTTCCTCAAAAGACATCACTGAGAAAATGAAAAGGCAAGCTACAGTCTGGAAGAAACCATTTGTAATACAAATATTTGGCAAACTATTTGTAACCAGAACATCCAAAGAACTCCTATAATTCAGTAAGAAGATGAACAACCGAATAATAGGTGAAATATTTGAATAGACAGGTCACAAAAGTATATGCAATGGCAAAAAGTCTGAGTGAAGACATTTCCTATCATTAGTCATAAGAGAAACGCAACTTAAAACCACAGTAACATACTCCCACACACTCGTTAGAATGACTAAAATGAAAACCACTGACCACAGCAAGCACTGGTGAGGGTGCAGAACACCTAAAATTCTCATTACATTAATGCTGAGACTGTAAAATGACACAACAGTTTTAAATTTTTGTAAAATGTAAGCATATGCTTACCATAAATCCAACAATCATACTCTTCAGTATTAATTAAAGAGAAAAGAAACAGGCCTATCAGCTTTATTCATATTAGGCAATGACTGGTATTAATCCGCATGTACGTCACCAGTGGGAGAGATTAACAAATGGTGGTATAGCTGTGCAAAGGATAATGACTTCACAATAAAAGAAATAAATGACTGAGAAATGCAACAAAGTTAACAATCTCAAAAAACATTACGCAGAATGAAAGAAGTAGATACAAGACAGTATATATTGTATGAGTTCATTTCTGTGACATTTTTAAAAAGATGAATCAAATCTTTAGTGTCTGAAAGCAGACCAATGGCTACCTAGGGCCACGTGTGGATGTACTATGGGTACAGGGAAGACTGACTGCAAAGAGGCATGGCAGAACTTTTTGAGGCAATGAGAATGTTTTATATTTTTATTGTGATGGGGGCTACATGCATATATATGTTTGTCAGAAGTCATCTAATCATATACTTAAAATGAGTTCATTTCATTATATGTAAATTATACTTAAGTTGACTAAAAAATGAAAACAACCTAAACGTTCAATGATTTGGGAAGGTTTTAATAAGTTAAAGTGTATCTACATAATTAGTAGGCAACAAGTAACATATTTTAAAATGATAAAATTGAAAATATGTGTACAGTATAAACAGTGGAAAATATATTAACACGGTATTAGCAATTATTTCTAGATGGTAAGATTTAGAGTGGTTTTTATCTTCTGTTTCATACCTCAAAAAATACTTGTAATTATTTAATATCCATTCCCCAGAATACTATGCATTTTTGTTTTGTTTTGTTTTGTTTTGGTGACAGGGTCTCACTCTGTTGCCAAGGCTGAAGTGCAGTCGCATGATGGCTCACTGCAGCCTCAACCTCTTGGGCTCACTCAATCTTCCCACTTCAGTCTCTCGAGTAGCTGGGAGCACAGGCACTGGCTACCACACCTGGCTAATTTTTAACTATTTTGGTAGATACAGGGTCTCCCTATGTTGCTCAGGCTGGTCTTGAACTCTTGGGTTCAAGTGATCCTCCTGCCTTGGCCTCCCAAAGTGCTGGGCATGAGCCACTGGGCCTGGCCTATGCCCTTCTTAAATGCAGAGACCATCTGTCTTGCTCATGTAGTATACTAAGCACATAGTACAGTGCCTGCCTTGAAGAAAGCAGCATTCAATAAGAACTTTTTTGACAGAATTAAAATAATTTTTTTGGCTTTTTGAAGTTCTCTGTAATGAATGTACATTATCACTTTTGCAATAGAAAAAAATTATTCAAAGGTTTCAAATAAATGTACTAATAATTAATGTACTGATTTATGCTTATTATAAATTTAATGCTCTATTTTTTTCTTGGCAAAGGCATAGGAAAATGAGAAAATTATGACAGTACACCATATCTTTGCATCTTCAGCACCATGCCTAGTATATGACACATATTATATTCTTCATAAATATGTATTGCAAAAAATAAAATTAAATTCAGAAATACCTCTCAAAAAATTATAAGAAAAATCATCCTTAAGGTTTTTGAGGTAAAATATTTTCATTGGAAGTATTAAAAATCATATATAATAGTTGAATAATCTTATCTTTGTTCAAAAAGGAAAGTGAATTATTTGCTGCTAAAATAGGGAGCTTATCTTTATCAAGTTAAGTTCCTTTATAAAGGCAAAGACTACATAGTTTTTTTTTATTGTTAAGCTTAGCCATGCTATAGGAATACAGTAATGTAAAATGCATTAACTCAAACTACTAAATATACAAGCATATTTCATCATTCTATTAGGAAGAAATTTTCTCCATAACTCTCTCTCATAATAGCCTAACAGGAACTGCACTAGAGTGTAGCTGTACTCCCACGGTTTAGTAAGTGAACAGGTATTCAGCCCATCCTTGCAAAAAGATGACTGCATCTACAGCCGTGCCCTAAAGTCTCATGCTCAACAGGCTTCTCTCATCAGAGCACAGGAAGTTCCTTCCCACATACCCTTCAAATGTCAACCTAACACTACTTCCTCAAAGAGATAACTAAATTTATAGTAGGTTCTCCATCATTCTCTCTCATACTACAGCACTCTGTTGCCATTATATTTATTGGGTTTATTTTGTTTTATTATTTTATAATATGCATCTCCTTCTAGAAATCATGACTGTTTTATTCATCCTAGCGAACGCAGTAAGCATTTAATACATACTTTTGATTGAATGAGCTAATCTTATTTGGGGAACATACCTGTTCTTGAAGATTTAGTTCAAATGCACCTTTCCTCCTAAAATCTCCTGTATAGGAGAACATTTGTGGGGATGTTATTTTTATCGTGGTGATGATTTCATGGGTCAAAAGTTATCAGATTGTACACTTTAAATATGTACAAATTATTTATAATTTGTTATTAACTCAGCAAAACTGTTTTAAAGAAAGGGAAACATCTTAAGACAAAATGCAGATTTTCTCACACAAATAAAAGCTAACAAAAGTTACGGCTATCAGACCTGCACTACAAAAACAAATGCTAAAGGAAGTTTTTATGCAAAAGGAAAATGTAATAGATGAAAATGTATACCAACACAAAGGAAAAGAGAACACTTAAAATGACTACTTTATGAATATAAAACATTTTTTCTATTAAAAATTATTTTAAAGATAATTGCTTAAGGCAAAAACAGTGTATTGTAAAGGTTAAAAAATACATGGAAGTAAAATGTCTGAGAACAACTGCACAAAAGACAGAAGGCAGGGAAACAGATGTATGCCTTTTAAGGTTCAGATAGAAGGTAAGAAAATAGACGTATGCTGTTATAAGGTTCTTACAGTACAGGTAAAGTGACACAGCATATTGTTTGAAAGTCTACCGTGATGAGAAAAGATACATATTCTAAACCCTAAAGCTACCACCATAAGAACAAAGAAGCAGAGCTAATCAAACTAAGATTATTTAAACTCATCAAATTACTAATAGAAATTCTTCAACTTTTAATAAAGAGCATCTACGAAAAATCTACAGCTAACAACATGGTTAATGGTGACAGTATGAATGCTTCTGCCCTAAAATTAGGTATAAAGCAAGGATATTTGCTCTTATCCTGCTCTTTAACACTGTTCTAAACATCCTGGATAGTTTAATAAGGCAAGGAAATGTACACATATTAGAAAATAGCAGTAAAACTGTCTTTGTTCTCACCTGACATGATCATCTACATAGAGAAATCCAATATATTTACAATAAAAGACTACTAAAACTAATATTAGTATGGCTAATAAGTAAACATCAACTGTATGTCTATATATTAGCAAGAATCAACTACAAATTGAAATTTTTAATAATGACTGATAAACCATTTATAACTTAAAAACATAAAATAATTATAAAGTATCCCTAAGGATAAATTTTTAAAACTTTCAAGACCTGTACACTAAAAACTACATAATATTGTTGAAAGAAATTAAAGACTTAAATAATGGGAAAACATATACCATATTTATGAATCAGAAGACAACACTGTGAAACTGTCAATTCTCCCCAAATTGATCAACAGATTTAACACAATCACAATTAAAATCCAGGAGGCTTTTATGTAGAATTCAACAAGCTTACTCTATAATTTATGTGGAAATGCAAAGGAAATTGGATAGCAAAACCAAATTTAAAAAGAATATCAAAATTGAAAGATTCAAGCTGCCTGATTTTAACACTTATTCTAAAGTAAGTGTGTGGCATAGTGAAGACAGTGTGGTATAGGTTTCAGGATAGATATAGACCAATACAACAGAATGCAGAGTCCAGAAATCGACCCACACATATATGACTGATTTTTGACAAGGGTACCAAATCATTCAATGGGAGAAAGACAGTCTTTTCAACAAATATGCTGGAACAGTTAGATATCACTTTGCAAGAAACAAATGAAACATGACCCTTATGTAGCAGTATACATTAAAATTAACTTGAAATGGCTCATAGACCTAAATGCAAGAGCTAAAACTATTAACACTTCTAGAAGAAAGCATAAAAGAAAATCTCCCCGACCTGCCACCACCCAACAGGTCTAGCTTTGACTTTAGAAAAAAATCTTAACAAACTTCAGTTAGAAAAAGATGTTTTAAAAACAAAATGTACAAATCATAAGAGAAAATAATCAATGAATTGTGTTTCCTCTAATTTAGAAGTCTGCCCTTCATACTGGTTGGAAAGCCTATCAGTGGTTTTCAGGGTGAGAGTGAGGGGAGAGAATTGACTTTAAAGAGACATGCGAGGCTCTGTTGTGAAAGAAACATTCTAGATCATGATTGTGGTGATGGGAAACTGCTTTATACAGCTGTCAAAACTCACTAAATTGTACAGTCAAAATTGATTAATTTTACTGAATGCTAACTATGCATTAAAATGCTGATTACAATAGATTACAACAAAAGTGTATTTTGGAACAATTTCCCATTATGAAATGAAAAGACAAACTATAAAATGGGAGAAAATATTTATAAAATATATATATGATAAAGCCCTTACATGAAATAAATAAATCTGACAACTCAATATTAAGACAACAACCTAATTTTTAAAACAGACAAAAGATTTTAAGATACTTCAAAAAAGATGATGTATAAATGGCAAATCAGAATAAGAAAAGAAGTTCAATATCATTAGTTATTTGAGAAATTCAAATTGAAGCTAAAAAATACCACTATACATCCACCAGAATGAGTAAAATTTAAAAAGACTACCATGCCAAGTGTGGTGATGTTGTCAAGTAACATCCTGGGAATGCAAAATGGTATGGCTGATTTTGAAAAGAGTCTGCAGTTTTTAATGAAGTTGATCATAACAAATGACACAGAAATTGCATTTCTATGTATTTACCCAAGAAGATTAAAAATATATATTCACACACAGATTTGTACTGGAATATTCACGAGCTTTTATTCTAATAGGCCCAAAATGTAAAGAACCCAAACGTCTATCCAGGGGCAACTATATAAACATATGACTGTACATCACACAACGGAGCAAAGCCATAAAAAGAAACAAACTACTGATATATGGAACAGTATCTATAAATTTTAAAAGTATTATGCTAAGTGAAAAATGGAGAACACAAAAGCCTGTAAGTATGTTTTCAGATTATAGTTTTTGATATTTAAATACTGTTTTGTGTCACTGCCCTCTTTTTCCTCCTCAGGGTTTCCAATTATACATATGTTGCTTCTTCTGTTTTCCCTCCCTTGAAATACCCACTCTGTGGTAAGCCAGCCTTTGTGTAAGAAGTTTGACTACCTTGAAATGGCCATGCTCTGCCATAACCACATGGAAAGGAATCATGTAAATACCCAGATGCCTGGCAGGCCCCTGCAGTTCCAGCCACTTGATCTGAGATTTTAGATTTGTAAGCAAGCATGTTACATGTTGAGGCTTGTAATAACATCTCCTAATAACTAAATTCAATGCATTCAATTACATTTAATGCAGTGAGATACTGGTTTAACCATTCATTTTTTAAAAATGTCTTTGAATTATGAAATTATATACTAAAAATGCTTCCCGACTTTACATTGCCTTTAGATGCTAATGTAAACATTGTAATGCATCCTTCTTGACTTGGGAATTTTGAAAAAGCATTGGGTGAAAAACAAAATTCTGATACAACCTACATAATATATTAATAACTAAAATAGTTAGCAAAGAAATTAGCTTGTCAGACACCTGACAATAAAGATGTTTATATACCTGAAAACTTTGTAAAATTTTAAAAATCATCACTATGAATATGAAATGATAATTAAATTAATTTAAAAATCACCCAGATCACACCTCCGTAAATTAGTAAGGAGAACTAGAATACTGACTACTGGTGCTTTTGTCTTATGTGAATTTAAAATGAGATAATTTTGGTTCACTGATAACAAAATGCCAGCCAAATGAGAAATCTGAATAAGCATGAGAATCTCAAGAATGGCAAGAACCTGAAAGCCGTATTGCAAAAAAATCAAATACATGTTATCAAAGAAATTAATATAGAGTTTACAATGAACTAAGTATGGACAAAAATAGTAGTACATAACTGAAACTGTTAGCTTCATTACAACCTACATAAAGAAAATAGAGGAATGTGAAGAATTTATCAGATGAATAGCATTTCTACACAATGATTTTCCTTTACTCCCCTAATGAATCTTTAACTTCAGGAAACTTCAGACTTGAGAGAGATTTGCAGAGGTCCAACAAATAAGCCTGAAATAAATGAAGCTATGAGTAAGATTTTGGAAACAAGTCCTAAGTAGAGACTTCCTAAACCAAAGAAAACAAAAACACCTCCTTAGTCAATTTTGTCTACTTTATTCTCCCAGGATATTTTTCTGCTTCTCATGTAAATTTAGTAACATTTAAGGAATAAAAAGAGAGCTGCCTGGATATATTAGCAGTGTGATTGGTCATATTATTAGAGAGATTTTACAATCAGTTCTACAAATGCCCCACTGAAATTGCACTGAACTCACTCTTACAACCTTGTTCTACTGGGCTCCAAACCAACCCTTTTACATTCTGTACTACAGCCAAGGTGCATACCTTGTACCAAACCAGAAAAGGAAGAATCCCTGGTAGTCTCCATAGGAACTATTAGATGGCAAATCCAATGGACAATTCTCAGTTATCATTGTACAGTATTTAATATACTCTGTTGTACCTAATCTCTCCTTAACTTCTAAGGCTTCTCTTGTCTGGCTCCTCCTGCCCAGGATCCTCCTTAGGCTTCTCTCTGCCTCTACACCTGTGCACTAGTCTCACTGCATCTACAGCTGTGTCTACAGCATGCCTTACTCTGGCATTTCCAGGCACCATCCTTGGCCACTGATGTTCTAACTGTACATACTTTCCTCACATTGGATATTTCCTCACTTCCTGGGTTTTAACACTGCTCATGATGCCTATTTGTATCTCTGATTTAACTCTCCCCACTCCTTGGCTGCCACACTAGGTGCCTCAAATATAGCATGATCTGCTTAAGAACTCATTCTTCTCCCTGTGTTTTCTATTTTTATAAATACTCCAGTATCCACAATTCCCCAAGCAGCAAACAGGAAATCATATGATACTTCTCTGCATATTTATTCATTAAATCCTGGTGATTCTAATAACTAAATATTACTAGAATTTGCTTCCTTCTAACACTGCTTCAATTAATAATCTTTTTTTTTTTTTTTTTTGAGATGGAGTTTTGCTCTTGTTGCCCAGGCTGGAGCACAATGGTGCAATCTAGGCTCACTGCAATCTCCACCTCCCAGGTTCAAGCAATTCTCCTGCCTCAGCCTCCCAAGTAGCTGGGATTACAGGCATGCGCCACCAGGCCTGGCTAATTTTGTATTTTTAGTACAGACGGGGTTTCTCCATGTTGGTCAGGCTGGTCTCAAACTCCTGGCCTCAGGTGATCCACCCACCTCAGCCTCCCATAGTGCTGAGATTCCAAGCATGAGCCACCACATCCGACAACCTTATCATTTTTATAAGTGAATTACTGAAAACCTTCTAACTGCAGCAACCTCCCAAGTATTTTCCTTGCTTCCACTTTTGTCCTCTCTACTTCAACCTCTATACTGCCAAGTATTCTTTCTAAACATTTCCCCCAAAGAAATTCTTCCATGATGCTCCACTGCCTTCATCTAAATGACTTGAGAGTGAAGATCTGTCTTAATGTGATTCTGACTACCTGTGCAGACTCTCTGGCTTTCCTCTGCAGAACTCTATGCATTATCCACACTGTGCTATATTCGGTGGGTGGGGGAACCTGTCTGCTCCTGTGTACTCTACACATGCCATTTTACCTGTGTAGGAATGCTCTCCTTCCCAACCTTAGTGATATAATGTATAGTTATTCTTACGTCTTAGCCTAGCAACCACTTTTTAAGAAGAGTTTCCTACTCTGGCACCCTTTGCTTTCCTTTCCTCTGCTCCTCAGGTTCATTAAAGTGCTCATTCTCTCCATGCACAGTAACCAGTATTATCAGAGCAACCATGTCACTGCAGTGTATACAAGTATTTTCTCATCTATCTCCCCAGTAAGTCACTCATCAAAGGAAAAATAGTATGTTTTCCTTATTTATGAATCTTCTGAGGTCTAGCCCACAGAAGTTGCTCATTATTTAATAGATGAATGATAATGTACTAGATTATAAAGTTAATCCATAAGGTATCAAAAATAATCAAATCACTCCCAAACATTCCTTAGAACGGTATTACACTGGAGACCAACATACTGTCATCTCTCGACATAGTTAAACCCAGGACAGTTTTCTATCTTTGGTACAATAATATAGTCTTTTTTCTTTTATTTTCTTTAGAGACAGGGTCTCACTCTGTTGCCCACGCTGGAGTGCAGTAGCACAACCATGGCTCACTATAACCCTGAGTTCCTCGGCTCAAGTGAACTTCCCACCTCAGCTTTCCTGATTAATTTACTAGGACTACAGGTACACATCACCATACATGGCTAACTTTTTTTTTTTTTTGACACGGGATCTCACCATGTTCGCCAGGCTGGTCTCAAACTCCTGGCCTCAAGCAATCCTCCTATCTCAGCTGCCCAAAGCACCAGAATTACAGGCATGAGCCACCAGGCCTGGCCAGAAAATAGTTTCTTTAAATGAACACCTGCAGTTACAATGCACTCAATGACATTTTATGTAAGTTTTGTATTTTAAAACACCAGAGTTTATATTCCATGAAGCTCTATGCATGGAAAGTAGGAAGTAACAAGGAGTAAAGAATAGCAAATTTATATCTCTCATCCTAAGGTCACTCTGTAAATACACTCATTGAGAAATTGAGAAAAAGAGCAGAATAATCACATCATTTAAATCAACTTGTCTATCTCAGCTATATCTTATTGAGCCCACTTCTTTGAATTCATATAAATTACATGCAACTATGATGAAATTCCATTGTACCAATACGACCGTAAGAAGTTAGGGCTGATTTTTCACAGCCAACATTTCTTTCACAATTCACTTTCATCAAAAATTTTTAGTGCTCCAAATACAGTCATGCATTACTTAACAACTGGGATATGGCCTGAGAAACTTGCTGGTAGGCAGATATGGTTTGGCTGTGTTCCCACCCAAATCTCATCTTGAACTGTAGTTCCCATAATCCCAATGTGTTGTGGGAGGGATCCACTGGAAGGTAATTGAATCACAGGGCTGGTTATCTCCATGCTGTTCTGCTGATAGTGAGTGAGTTCTGATGAAATCTGATGGTTTTATAAGGGGCTTTTCCTCCTTTGCTTAGCACTTCTCTCTCCTGCTCCTATGTGAAGAAGGACATGTTTGCTTCCCCTTTCACCACGATTGTAGGTTTCCTAAGGTCTCCCCAGCCCTGCAGAACTGAGTCAATTAAACCTCTTTCCTTTATAAATTACCCAGTCTCGGGCAGTTCACAGCAGCATGAGAACAGAGAATGGACTAATACAGTACATTGGTACCACAGAGAGTGTGGTGCTGCTGTAAAGATACCCAAAAATGTAAAAACAGCTTTCCAACCAGGTAACAGGCAAGGCTGGAACAGTATGGAGGGCTCAAAAGAAGACAGAAAAACGTGAGAAAGTTTGGAACTTCCTAGAGACTTGTTGAATAGCTTTGACCAAAATGCTGACAGTGATATGGACAATAAAGTCCAGGCTGAGGTGGCCTCAGATGAAGACGAGGAACTTACTGGTAAGTGGAGTAAAGGTGACTCTTGCTATGCTTTACCAAAGAGAATGGTGGCATTTTGCCCCTGCCCTAGAGATCTAAGGAACTTTGAACTTGAAGGAGATGATTTGGGGGTATCTGGTGGAGGAAATTTCTAAGTGGCAAAGCATTGAAGAGAACGCGGAGAAGAAAAGTTTGCAAAATTTGCAGCCTGACAATACAATAGAAAAGAAAAACCCATTTTGTGGGGAGAAATTCAAGCCCACTGCAAAAGTTGGCATAAGTAACAAGGAGCCAGATGTTAATCACCAAGACAAAGGAGAAAATGTCTTCAGGGCATTTCAGAGACCTTTGCAGCAGCCCCTCCCATCATAGGCCCAGAGGCCTAGGAGGGAAAAACAGTTTTGTGGGCCAGGGCCAGGGCCCAAAAGCAGGGCCCCCCAACCCGGCTCTGTGCAGCCTTGGGACATGGTGCCCTGCATCCCAACTGCTTCAGTCCCAGCTGTGGCTAAAAGGGACCAATGTACAGCTCAGGCCATTGCTTCAGAGGGTGCAAGCCCCAAGCATTGGCAGCTTCCATGTGGTGTTGGTCCTGCTGGTGTGCAGAAGACAAGAATTAAGGTTTGGGAACCTCCACCTAGATTTCAGAGGATGTGTGGAAACACTTGGATGACCAGTCTGCTGCAGGGGCAGAGTCCTCATGGAGAACCTCTGCTAGGGCACTGCAGAAGGGAAATGTGGTGTTGTAGCCCCCACACAGAGTCCCCACTGGGGCACTGCCTAGTGGAGCTGTGAGAAGAGGGTCACTGTCCTCCAGACCCCAGAACGGTAATCTACTGACAGCTTGCACAGTGCACCTGGAAAAGCCACAGACACTCAACACCAGCCCATGAAAGTAGCTGGGAGGAGGGATGTACCCTACAAAGCCACAGGGGTGGTGCTGCTCAAGGCCATAGGAGCCCACCTCTTGCATCAGCATGATCTGGATGTCAGACACGGAGTTAAAGGAGATCATTTTGGAACTTTAAGGTTTAATGACTGCACTATTGGACTTTAGACTTGCATGGGGCCTACAGCTCCTTTGTTTTGGCCAATTTCTCCCATTTGGAATGGGTGTATTTACCCAATGCCTGTACCCCCATTGTATCTAGGAAGTAACTAACTTGCTTTTGACTTTACAGGCTCATAGTCAGAAGAGACTTGCCTTGTCTCAGATGAGACTTTGAACTTGGACTTTTGGGATATTGCTGAAATGAATTAAGACTTTAAGGGACTGTTGGAAAGGCATGATTGTGTTTTGAAATGTGAGGATATGAGATTTGGGAGGGGCCAGGAGCAGAATGATATAGTTTGTGTCCCCACCCAAATCTCATCTTGAATTGTAGCTCCCAAAATCCCCATGTCATGGGAGGGCCCTGGTGCGTAATTTAATTATGGGGGTGGTTACCACTATGTGATTCTTGTGATTGTCAGCGAGTTCTCACAAGACGGTTTTATAAGAAGCTTTTCCCCCTTTGCTCAGCACTTCTTCCTGTCACCATGTGAAGAAGGACATGTTTGCTTCCCCTTCCACCATGATTGTAAGTTTCCTGAGGACTCCCCAGCCCTGCGGAACTGTGAGTCAATTAAACCTCTTTCCTTTATAAATTACCCCGTCTGGGGCAGTTCTTTTCAGCAGTGTGAGAACTAATACAGGCAATTTCATCATTGTGTGAACATCACAGAGTGACTTACACAAACCTAGACAACATAGCCTACTACACACCTGGGCTATATGGTATAGCTTATTGCTCCTAGGCTACAAACCTGTGCATGTTTGTCTTATCGGACTACCATTGTGCTATCCATCATTGACTTCAACATTGCTACATGGCATGTGACTTATATTGACAAACACATAAAAATCACAAGCATAATCAAGAGCATGCTAAACCCCTAACTCAAATTATAATTCAAGGTAAACTTTCTAGAGCATAGACTAAGAAGAAGATGCTATTGTTAATTAAAAATCAGTGAACAATAAGCATAAATTGAGTAAAAATTGGGCTAGTTATTTCAGCGAGGCCACTAAAGGAGCTCATCTTAGGGCAAAAACTTGATATAAAAAGATTTGAGTGTGCTGCCATTTTGGTATTATGAACTTACCAGAGCTTGCTTACAAAAGGCCAGTATTCTCACGCTCAAGTCCTTAGATGCCATACAGATCCTACCCCACTGGCTGAGTCTTGGTATATGTGTGGATTGTGCTAGTGTGAATTGTTTACGTGTGTTTATTGTTTCCCTTACTTTAAACCTATTTCAAAAATATAACTACTATGTTTAATACTTTTTCTACAGTAATTAAGTTTTTTGCTTTTTTTTTTTTTTTTTTTTTTTTTTTGAGACGGAGTCTTGCTCTGTCACCCAGGCTGGAGTTCAGTGGCGTGATCTTGGCTCACTGCACCCTCCGCCTCCTGGGTTCAAGCAATTCTCCTGCCTTAGCCTCCCAAGGAGCTGGGATTACAAGCATCCACCACCATGCCCGGCTAATTTTTTGTATTTTTAGTAGAGATGGGGTTTCATCACGTTGGCCAGGCTGGTCTCGAACTCCTGACCTCGTGATCTGCCCGCCTCAGCCTCCCAAAGTGCTGGGATTACAGGTGTGAGCCACGACGCCTGGTCGTTTTCTGCATTTTTATAAGGCATCCCTGGGCAGCATAAATGGCAAGGTGAACCCAAAGCAAAACCAAAATTAAACAAGTTGCCACAAGGATAAACACATCAAGCATAGATTTCCTCCCCAGTCATGATAAATCAAGAATTGAAATAATCCTACTATACTCCAAGAACTAAATAACTATTTTAAAATACATCTGATAATCTAAAAAAAAAAAAATTGTGAGGTTAAATATATAAAATTCTATTTCCTACTAAAGTTATTAAATATAAATAACTTTTCATTTTCTGTGTGTGTGTGTGTGTGTGTGTGTGTGTGTGTACCAACACTGTAATTACCTACGCATGTTAAAATTATACACCACATACAGGGAGGCCGAGGTGGGCAGATCACTTGAGGTCAGGAGTTCAAGACTAGCCTGGCCAACATGGCCAAACCCCGTTTCTACTAAAAATACAAAAATTAGCCAAGTGTGGTGGTGCACACCTATAATCCTAGCTACTCGGGAGACTGAGGCATGAGGACTGCTTGAGCCCAGGAGGCAGAAGTTGCAGTGAGCCGAGATTGTACCACTGTACTCCAGACAGGGTGATGGAGTGAGACCCTAGAGAATCAGTTCACTTGCTTCAAAATATTAAATAATACTTATCTATAGCCCAATCCAAAACAGAAATTCTGAAGAAAAACAAAGATATGCTGAACAAGAAAAATAATGTAGGAGTATTAATGCTAAAGAAAATCATCTGGCTAATCTGAAAATCTGCTTTTAGTGTAAAATTTTTTTCAATAATCATCAATTAATTAATCTTTAAGTACTCCGGGTTTAGAAAAGAAGTGCAGATGCCAGGTAGCGCCCTCTAGGAAGCTTTCCCTCATCCCACCAAAGTCCCACCATCTATCTATCTGTTATGATAGAAGTGATAATTATTTCACACTTAGTATTATTTTTGTACCCTTTCTCCAGTAGACTATAAACTCTTTGAGGGCAAGATCTATGTTTAATTCAGATTTCTATGCCCTAGATATCTACCAGAGTGCCTTCCACAAAGACTTAATACATATGTATTTTTGAAATAAAAAGATATCCTCTCCTAAATTTACACTTTCAGCTTTTTTAACAAAATAAACTGTATACTACATCAATTTCTATTTTTCTTCCTACTCCTCAGTAGTTCCTATTTTACCCCTTTTAGCTAACTTCTCTTATCCCTAATCCCTGAGGGAATGTTCATCCATTTGTTCACTTATTCATTCAAATAATCCAATGAATATTTGTGAAGCACCAACTATGTACAAGCAGTGAATAAGATGCTAGGGTTATACCGTGAACAAGCCTCTTAGAAAGCTAACACTTTGATGGGAAAGACAGACAAGTAAATAGGTAATTGTAAAACAATGTGAAAATTGTTACTATAGACATGAACACACAATACCGTTTAAAAAAGAGAGACATTTAATAGTGTTTTTCCAAGTTTTTGTCTGCGGACTGTTTTATCTGTCTTACTGTTTCCCTTGGTCATCCATTCATCCAACCATTTATTTGTCTGTCTACTTTCAACTATTAGATAATACATGTATGTGGCACAAAACACAAAAGATACTGAAAAATACATAAATGAAAAGTCTTCCTCCTATCTTATCCCTGGCCACTCAGTTTATTTTCCCAAAGACAAGCACTAATACCCAGTGCATAATTTCAGAGATACTCGATCAATAGACAAACATATATACACATGTTTACGGTCTAATTTTATTTTAACACAACAGAAGTATGCTTTATACTCGTCTGCACCTAGTTTTTTTAACTTCTATTAATGCCCATATTGGGCTGTCTCATTCTTTCAGATGGATATAGAGATTCCACTGCATGAATGTAACTTTATTTAAGCAGACTCCTTACGAATGCTCATTTAAAATGCTACAATGCTGCAATGAGTATACTTATCTATATATCATTCTGTGGTGCATCTGTACGTCTGTAGGATAAATTCTTAGAAATGAAATTGCTGAGTCCAAGTATAAGCGCATTTTAAATTTTGATAGATACTGATGTAAGAGGTTTCATCAATTTCATTTCCACCCCCATAACTTAAATTATAATCTTTATGGGAATGGCTGCCAAAACTGCATCCACAGTTTTGACTCTTTATCCACTCTCCATCATAGTTCCACACATACATTACTTTAAAAGCTTACGAAAAACTGTTTCAAAACCAAATTTATAAGGTTAACATGTTCTTCATAATTGCACTGTATCTGCTAAGGCTCCCAAATTCCAACCAAAAATCACTTTTCATTGTACCTTTTTGTTTCTACCAAGATCTAATTAATTGGTCATTAAGATGTAACAATATGGCCAGGTGTGATGGCTCACGTCTGTAATCCCAGCCCTGTGAAAGGCTGACGTGGGTGCATCACTTGAGGCCAACAGTTCAAGACCAGCCTAGGCAACATGGCAAAACCCTATCTCTACAAAAAAATACAGAAATTAGCCAGGCATGGTGATGCATGCCTGTAGTCCCAGTTACACAGGAGGCTGTGATGGGAGGATAGCTTAAGCTTAGGAGGTGGAAGTTGCAGTGAGCAGAGATGGCACCACTACAATCCAGCCTGAATGACAGAGCCAGACCCCATCTCAAAAAAAAAAAGATGTACCAATCCTACAGTTCCACAACATCCATTTTCTTCGTATTTTCTCAGACATCTTACTGCAAGGGCCCAGTTCTGTATTCCTGGGTTATTATTATTTAATTATCTTGTCCTATCATCCACCAGTGATTCTGCCCATCCCATCCTCTCTGCCTGAAACAACTTCTTACATCAATTCCCTGGGTGAAATCTCATTAAGCCTACTCTAAGTGCTAGATCATCCATAAAGCATTTTCTTTTATGACTTTATTAGAAGTTAGGTCTTTCACTATGCATTCTAATTTGTAATACACTAAGGGAAGTTATATACTCCTTCACAGCAAGGATAATATCTTAACACATTTTCATAAACCCATACTGCCTAGGCACTCAAAATGTGTTTACCAAATTAATGAATTAAGTTTTGGGTTTTGATTTTTTTTTTTTTATTTGAGACCAGGTAATGCTCTGTCACCCAGGCTGAAGTGCAGTGGCATGACCATGGCTCACTGCAGCCTTGACCTCCCAGGCTCAAGTGATCCTCCCGCCTCAGCTCCTCAGTAGCTGGGAGTACAGGAGCTGGGTGTGTGCCACCATGTCCAGGTAATTTTTTTATTTTTTGTAGAGACAAGCTTCCACTATGTTGCCCAGGCCGGTCTCAAACTCCTGAGCTCAAGTGATCCACCCGCCTCAGCCTCCCCAACTGCTGGGATTACAAGTCTGAGCCACCATGCAAGCCCTGAATGAATGAAGTTTTGCAACAAACGAATTCCTGCAAATCAGATAATTCTACAGGAAAAAAATTCCATAAAGGATATTTAATTATTTATTTTGGAAAATAAGAATATTTTAAGTTCATGAGACACAAACAAGACCCTATTTAATAATTAAATTTATTTCAGAAAGCCCACAATAAAAATATTTCCAGTTAGCTTTTCCAGTAAATTTACTTTTCCCTCACATTGACTGTGATCAAAACCAAGGAAGAGAAAGGAGAAGGAATAAAGGAATGAGTGAAATGTGCTAATAAAAATATTAAATTTATCTCCAAAATATTGTCAGTCTCTTAAATATAGTCATGGTAGGCCCGGCGTGGTGGCTCACGCCTGTAATCCCAGCACTTTGGGAGGCTGAGGCAGATGGATCACAAGGTCAGGAGATCGAGACCATCCTGGCCAACATGGTGAAACCCCATCTCTACTAAAAATACAAAAATTAGCTGGGTGTGGCGGTGCGCGCCTGTAGTCTCAACTACTCGGGGGGCTGAGGCAGGAGAATCGCTTGAACCCGGGAGGCAGAGGTGGTAGTAAGCTTAGATTGTGCTGCTGCACTCCAGCCTGACGACAGAGCGAAACTCCATCTCAAAAAAAAAAAAAAAAAAATTATATATATATATATATATACACACACACACACACACACACACATATATACCCACCCATATATATACATATACATATATACATACATATATATACACATATACACATATATATACACCCTCATATATACATACACACACACACATATATATATATATAGTCATAGTACTCTACTATAAAGAAGAGAAAACTCAGCCATAATGTGCCCATGGACTATTGTTCCACTGAGTTTAGAATGGGTAAAATAACTTTTGACCATGTTCACAGCCTACTTGAAAAGAAACTTTGTGAAACAATAAATCTTGTATTTCTGGTTTTCAAAATTTAATAACATGATTTCAAAAATCATACTTCTGTTAAAACTTTTTACATTTAAAAACACAGGAAAAAGAAGAATATGATTATGCTTTCCAACATATAAATGTAGTTATATAAAAACAATCATTACATCTCATCAGAAATAATTTCGCTCCCATTTGTTCAATAGTATTAAGAGCTACATAAATTCCTATCAAGAAATGGAGAACTGCTATATTGTAACTTGTATTTTAAGTAATGTTTTTAAAATAATGAAAATACTACCATGCAAATACTGGATTTACTTCTTGACTCACCTCGCCCCCATTAACATATTCCATCACAAAACACAAACGGTCTTTTGTCTGGAAGGAATATTTCAAGGACTTGAAATAAAAAAAAGAAAAAATGTTACATTATAATCCTGTATTCTTATAATTATAATAGTACTAAAAATAGAACACATAGAAATAGTAAGCATGAAAGATGAAAAGAATTGTTATTGTTTAAGAGTTTATTTACTACTTAAAAGTGCTTAAGAGTTTATGAGAAACATAAAACAAATGTTTAGTTCACAATAGGTATTATTACAAGAAAAACTAAAATTAAAATTTCAAGTAAAAGTAAACTTAATTGCAACAAGCACTTCTCAATCTAATTTGCCATTGATTTGAAGCTGCATTAGTACTCAAGGTTCTCATCCATGCAACCTCACAGCGTGGCCAACAAATTACACTAGTTGAAGTTCCTTAGGAATGTAGCTACGGTTGTTACACTCAGGTTTCTAATACAATGACAACATCACTTTTTGCATATTGAGTGCACAACAGAACCCAACCTAACAGAGTTGGTTTATATAATTTTGTAGGTTATATATAGGTTATTAAAAAATACCCAAATGCTATCTTATTACACTAGACAATAAACACACCAAAAAAGGTAGCAAAGTAAGTCTAGGTATCTACTGACAGCTCTGAAAATGTCTATTTCAGATATTCCAAACAGTGTAAAGGGTTCCACTTTGGAAAGTCTAGCTATTATTTTTCATCTCAATATAGTTCATTGGAACCAAGAAAATACAGAAACTTTACCAATTATCCCTATATTACAAGGAATCTAAGAACAGAACTAAAAAATCCAGTTTCTTTCAAGACAACTAAGTTGTAGGCATACCATATAATCAGTTTATACTTTGTCTAGTGAAAAAAACGTAGCATGGCTTATCCCACCTCTAATGTATTTAGCATTCCCATATTTCTTAAAGTACTCTATCCCTCAAAGAAGTCTCATTTCTATAAAATATATTCGATAAACATTTCTGCCTTCCATATTTGAAGAAATGCTTCTGATCATTAAGATATTTATCAGAAGCCAATAAAACAAACATAAAATCTTTACATTTAAGAAATTTTTAAAAATCAGCCATTTCCTCAATAGTCTCCTTAAAATGCCAGAGGTAATGTATTAACTCTATGGTTTGTTTTTGTTTTTAATGGCAAGAGATTCATGGGAGAAAAAAAATTCTCAAAAAAGTAATAAATGCATAATGGGAGGAATTATCAATGCATACACACTGTAAAAATCCATACATTCTAATAAGTTATAAGAAATTTGACTTACGTTCTTTCCACAAAGAAAATGAGATATCTAAATGAATAGTATTTTTCACAATTTAATTTCTAACATAAAATTCCTTAAATTTCAAATGTTACGATTATAACATCTGTCCTCTAGTCACTTACTGTTAAAAAGGGATGTCTAGTGTTCTTTAATACTCTGCTTTCAGTTAGAGTGTGTGCCACTTCATCCTACAAAAGAAAAAAAGCAAACCTTCAATATATGTTTTGAGCACTGATAATAATAATTTCACTATTTCTCTAAAATTGGAAGAGGTTAAGCCCAGAGATTGAAAAGGATTTTAAAACACAGTGGCATGCTTCCTTTACCACTCAGCATTCTCTCCACCAAAATACAAAAAAACTCAAATTAATGATTTAATTCAGATGATTGTATAAGTTCATATAAATTCACTCATACTTAATCAAAGTATATCAATAATGATACAAAAATCAGTCAGAAAATTATCAGGGACACAGAAAATTAAATATTGAGCTTTCCTCCTTGAAGGGAACAATTTATCAACTAATATTTCTGCATGAGGTAATTTAATATCTCCATGTTTGTAATACATTTTATTCAGGGGGATGAAAGGATATATTTCCCAATAAATATCAAAGAATTTAAAAGTCTCCTACTTTAAATAAATTAGTTATTAGAACACAGAATACACATGCAATATTTAGTTCTAAATTACACATTTTAGAAATAGAAAGGAACAGAGTATAAAAATATATACCTTTCTGCTTGTGGCTTTTTAATTTGCGTCTTAATTTTTAAAGCCAAGTTCTTGCTCTGTTGCCCAGGATAGAGTACAGTGGTACAATCACAGCTCACTGTAACCTTGAACTCCTGGACTCAAGCATTACTCCTGCCTCAGCCTCCTGAGTAGCTGGGATTACAGATGTGAGGCACCATGCCCAGCCTTATATGCTTCCTTATTTATTTTTTTAGAGATAGGGTCTTGCTATGTTGCCCAGGCTGAGCTCAAACTCCTGAGGATCAAGGAATCCTCCCGCTTCAGACTCCCAAGTAGCAGAGACTACAGGTTGTTTTTTTTCCTTTGGTTGGGGGCGTGGGTGTTACACATTTTTTTTTATTTCAATAGGTTTTTGGGGAGCAGGTGGTGTTACATGAATAAGTTCTTTAGTGGTGATTTCTGAGATTTTGGTGCACCCATCACCTGAGAAGCATATGCTGTACCCAATGTGTAGTCTTTTATGCCTCACCCTGCTTCCATCCTTTCCCCCAACTCCCCAAAGTCCACTGTATCCTTCTTTTGCTTTTTTGTCCTCATAGCTTAGCTCCAGAGACTACAGGTTTAATGTGCTTTTCTTAAAAAAAAAAAAAAAAAAAAAAAAAGCTCACAACCCTCCTACTGTAGGTGATCATTTTAAAATGTAAGTATATTTCAAACCAAAAATAAACTAAGAATGTTTTCCCCAACTTTGGGCATAAATCTCATATTGATATCAAAAGCAAACTAGTGTTTTCTTCAACATATGGAGAACTGGAGATAATGTTTCATATTTCAAAAGTAACACTATCTTAAAGAAGAAACGAAAGGAAGACAACTGCTGAAACGAACACAGCATCTCTGTTCTTCACTTCTGGCAAGATCTTAAATAAAGCCCTTGCTGAATCAATTTCTTAACACTGTCAGAAAATCAAAATTAGATGGAAGAAAGACATGAAAAGCAAAACATCAGGACACTGCATTATATTTGTTATCTTTATAAAAATATTTGACCTTAAACTCGAAAGATAATGATAACTAGATTAATCAAAGAAGCTAAGATCCCACAACCATTCAAAGAAGGTAAGATCAATTGTGTCTGAACAGAAAGTATAATTAACAACGAGTGAAGGAAAGCATAAACATGAAATCATCTCAGTCTTATTTGTTTTATAGGAGTCAGTTTTAAGTGCTCAATTTGAAAGCCAATGTCATATCGTACTATAGTTCCTAAGTTAATTAGAATAGCAAACATTGTAAAACAAAATAAATCAGAAGCAGAAATGACACCAGAACTTACTGATTTCCATATACACTGTGCCTAACATAATGGTAAGCATACAGCAGATACCTAATAAATGTCTATTGAACTGAATTGTGTATCATAGGAAAGAATTCCAAGATGTCAAGTGTGCAAGAGTTCATTCATCCATCCACCCACCCACCCACCCACCGACTTCTTCAACACATATGCAACAAGTATCTTCTGGGTATTCGTCTGCACATCAGAGACAGGACACTGAACAAATAGACAAAATTCTCTGCTCTCATGGAGCTTTAGTTCTACTTACATGGTGATCAGTGTTAATGGGAAAAACCAGAGAAGGGGATACTACAGTTAATGAGCATCACAGAGGGAATATGAAATACATAATTAAGCATTATACAAGTGGCTATTTTGTGATATACTGAACCAAGTCCATTCACTTAAAAAAAAAACTGCTGATGTGCACTCACTAATTGGTAAGAACAGTGCTGGTATAAGGTAACTTAATAAAAAAAATAAGATCCCATTGCTCACAGAGTTCATAGGCTAGTGGAAAACACAAACAAGTAAATTATCCAACTTAAATAATTACTCTTTCTGATAAGTGATATTAAGGAAAAAGTGGAGGTTATCCACTATTGTCAACGGGGCTGTAAGGGAGAACCAATGCTATTGGTAGAGTGTAAGTTGGGTATTGTGATGGTGTGGGACATAGAGAAAGTGATGGGGTGGGGGTGACATGTTTGTGAAAGTCTACTCACGTTCTTCTAAGAAGGATCAATTAGGAAAGCATTACATAACCCCAAGAGAGAAGTGAGGATGGCTTGGACTACTATGGTGGCAGCGGAAAAAGAAAAAGGGGATAGTTCTGAGATATAAAGTTAACAGTGCTAATATAAAAGTTACATGCCTCCAACATGAGAGTGAATCACAGACATTTTAATAGGCAGTTCAGAAAGAAATTCACAGAAGATAACATCTACCTGTTGTGGTTTAAGATGTTAAGTGATCTGGGTCAAGAAATTAGGAAAAGACTAGAGAAAAGTATGTATGAAATTTATTTAGAAATAGAAAAGATATTCTAGTGCTTTGAATATTTTCAGTGGGGTATTACATTCTATTTTGTTAAAACAGGCTTATCACGCATAATAGTTATTTTTCTAAATCACTTAGTAACTTTCATGAGGGAAGACTTTTCTACCCCCTAAATTTGTAATCTGACCACATCCAAGGAACCAAGTAAAGACGTATGGAGGCAAAAGCAAAAACAGTATTTGTTATGAGAATGGAACTGGAATGAACACCATGTACATACCAAAATGTATTTTCTAACATATTTTACAGCTGATCAGATTAGAATTTCTTCCCATTAATGCATATTTAATGGTACTGTATTTCACATACTAATTAGTTTCTGCTATGAAGATAAGGTATGCGCAAGCTAAAAAGTAAACACAGATGCTAATAATTTTTAATTACAGTTAAAAGCAACATGTCAAAACAAAAAGTTAAAAATAACAGTAGTAAAACAGTGACTAAAACAATGTGATGCCTTTTAAAAAATCCATCTGTTGATCATAATTATGAAGAGTTCTAGAAATGCTTGGGGATACAATGTATTTTTTTCATGGAAAAGCTTTTGAAATACAAATTTACATATATTTATCCATGGTAAAATAGTAAATAATGAACTTTTAAATCTAATTTCTTTCATAGAAGAATTAGGGGGAATGGGATTTTATTTCTTCAGGCAGAAGAATAGTCTTTTTAATATTTTATTTTCCCAATCCTCTCCAATTTATCATTCACCCTCTATTACACACGATCTAAAGTTCTCCTTTCATTTGACCCTCTCGATGTTTTGTGGTAATTAGGTTATTTGAGGGAATGAGGTGTAGGAGAGGGCAAACAAGAGGAGAAAAAGAAAATTTCTACCCTTAATGATCAAGAACACCATGAGTGTCATCTCCTTTAATCCCTGCACCAACTGATCCCACATCTAAGTTCAATAGTAAAGGTCATTTCTACTTCACAAAACTGCCTCCCATCTTCAAACAACCTACTATCTACTTCACTAGGTACTCTGCTCACATTATTTTCTCCAAATTGACCACAAGTCTAGTTGAAATCAAGACACATTCCGTCTAAACCATTTCCTCCATCCACCCAGAGCTATAAATGAGACCTAGAGGAAGACACGAATCAGGTGGGAGAAACGGGAAGAGGGTAGAGAAATGTTACTTTGGCACATGTTTTTTCGATACATAATAGTTGTATACATTTTCGGGGTACATGTGTTGTTTTGACACATTCCATATGTGTAATGACCAAATTAGGGTAATGGGGATATTCATCACCTCCAACCTTTAACTTTTCTTTATGCTGGAGACATTCAAATTCTTCTCTTCCAGCTATTTTAAAATACACAGTAGGTGGTTGTTAACTATAGTCGCCCTACTGAACTATCTAACACTAGGTCTTATTACAACTGTACTTCTGTACCTATTAATCAACTCCATCTCCCCATCCCCCTACCATTCCCAGCCTCTAGGAACAACCAATCTACTGTCTATCTTGATGCAATCCCGTTTTTTAGCTCCCACATAAGAACAAAAATGTGCAATATTTGTCTTTCTGTGCCTGGCTTATTTCACTTAACATAATGGGTTCCATTTCCATCAATGTTGCTGCAGATAACGTGATTTCATTCTTTTTATGGCTAAGTAATATTCCACTCTGTACATATATCGCATTTATCCTTTCATTCATTGATGGGCACTTAGGTTGATTACATATTTTGGCTGTTGTGAATAGTGCTGCAATAAACCTAAGGGTGTAGATGTCTCCCCGATATGATGATTTCCTTTGTTTTGGATATATATATGGTAGTTCTATTTTTAGTTTTTGAGGAACTTTCATATGGTTTTCTATAGTGGTTATACTGATTTACATTCCCACCAACAGCATAGGAGAGTTCCCTTTAGCATCTGTGATTTTTTTGTTTTTTTGATAAAAGTCATTGTAACTGGGGTGAGATGATGATATGGTTAGGTATCCACCCAAGTCTCATCTTGAATTGTAATCCCCATAATCCCTACATGTCGAGGGAGAGACCTGCTGGGAGGTGACTGGGATCAGGGGGCAGTGTCCCCCACGCTGTTCTTGTGATAGTGAGTGAATTCTTAGGAGCTCTGATGGTTTTATAAGTGTCTGACAGTTCCTCTTCACACACTCGCCCTTTCTTCGCCTGATACCACACAAGACATGCCTCTTCCCCCTTCCATCATGACTGTAAGTTTCCTGAAGCCTCCCCAGCCATGCAGAACTGTGAGTCAATTAAACCTCTTTTCTTTATAAATTACCCAATCTTGGGCAGTTCTTTATACCAGTGTGAGAATGAACTAATACAGATGATATCACATTGTGGTTTTGATTTGCATTTCCCTGATGAGTAGTGATATGACACACTTTTACAAATTAAACAATGATTACCAGTGATTATTATTTACTTTTCCACTGTCTCAACAAGCCATATGTTAGCAATGTATACTTTTTTTTTTCCTGCCAGAGGAGACATGTCACACTTATCAAGCTCTAAATTTTGGGTTCTAACTTTTGTTTCTTGAAAACTTGAGCACTGGCCCAGATAATGACTTCTAATACTTCTTCCATTCTCCAGCTGTCAGACTGTCTTCTGTTCCTTGATTTCTATTCCTTTTTTTGAAGATTTCTCACCTTGATGGAGATGAAAGCACCGTTGTTCTCTGTTAACTACAAACATTATTGCGCCTTTCTCGAGTATTGTGTTTGATACTTTGTTCTTGATGCTCCAGTTCCAAATATTCCTTAGATGAAGGCCAAATGAACTCCTTTGACTTCCATCATGATATAATCACTTTGGACTCCAGTCTTTCTTCTGCCTCTCTCATACGCGGTATTGGGACAAGTTCATCTCTACCCTCTTAACTCTATATTTCACATCTAAAGATAAATTTACACAAACATATTGACTAACACCATTGGAATCTCCCTAAAAACTCAGCTGAATCTTCTGAGGCCTCTTTCATCCATCGCTACTTAGGTCACTCTTCAATTTCTCAGGATGGTTGTTTCAAATCTTTCCCAGGCCTTCTTCCTTGCCTGGTAGGTATACTTAAATGTACACACTAACCCTTACCTAGTCAAGCTACTAAGCTAAGACTAGAACCCAGGTCTGTGCTGACTTCCAAGCACAGGAGCTTTTCATTTATTTGTCTCTCTTTATCTCAGCCTCACTCGTTCACACTTTCAAAATGCGATCTTACTTCCTACTCAGAAGAGAAGCCATAAACGTAACATTTAACACATTTGATCACTCCTTCCTCCTGAAAACGTGTTCTTCTTTTGGGTCCCAGGACATCCTAATCTCTTCATCTTCCTCCTCTTCAGTGGTTGTCTTTCCGCAGTCTCATTTGCTGCTTCCTTTGCTCTGAAACCCTTATTCTGTAAGCATCTCCAGGACTCAGTCCTCAGAATTCTCTTCACTGGGTACACTCTTCCTTTGGTAAACTCATTCAGACTATGGCTCTAATACAGGATATATGCTGACAGACTTCCAAATTTATACCTCAAATCTAGACTTCTTTCCTAAACTTAAAAAATGCCTATTTGGCATGGATGTATAATCAGTGACATAAACTGGAGTATCTAACAAAAATAGCAAATTTGACATATCTAAAACCTAATTCCAAATCTCCCCTTGAAAAGTTTCTCCTGCAGTCAACTTCAATGTAGTGAATGGCAATACCATGCTTTCAGTTGCTTAGACCAAACATCTTAACAATGATCTCCAACTCCTTTTTTTTCCCACTCATACTCTACATTCAATCTGTCAAGCAATCCTGTTGGTTCTTCATCAAAATACACCCAAGGTCTCATTATCATCACTACCTCCATTGCTACTACCCTAGTACAAGCCACTATCATCAATTATCTAGATTACTGCTGCAATTAGCAAACTATCTGCTTCCAATCCACAGTCTATTGTCAACACTGCAGCCAAAGTGATACTGAAAACTAGACTGTGTAACTACACGGCATAAAAATTTCCAAAGGCTTCCCACTTCATTCACAGTAAAAGCCAATATCCTTACAAACATCCTACACCATTCTTGTTCCACACCATGCTAGACTCCTAGCTATTCAAAGAATGTGTTAGAATGTGCTAAGTAAGCTCCCTCCTCAGGGCCTTCTCAATTGCTATTTCCCCTTGCTGGAACATTCTTCCTTCAAAATATCTAAAGGACTTGCTTCCTGATCTCCTTCAAATGCTTGCTGAAATTTCACCTTTCAGTGAGGCCTTCCATAGTCATGCTATTTAAAACTGCATTAAGTCCCCAAAATCGCTACCATCATTATTCCTTATTTCCCTACTCCACTTTTCTCTGTAAGTATGGATTAGTTTATTACATACTCTATGGTTTATTTATTATGTGTATTATTTATTCTCTAATTGCTGACTTGAATAAAATTTCCCAAAGGAGAGGAGTTTGTCAGTTTTATTCGTTCAAATGGTCCCAGTGCCTAGAGCAGTACCTAGCAAATAATTAGGTGTTCGACATATATTTATTGAAATAATGAGTGAATGAACTAGTAAATAACGAATAACCTTGGTGCATGCTGCTGAAGAATAGAAGCTACACGAACTACATGAAATAACTCTAGAACATAAATCACTGAAATCATACTCCCAATAGAACAATGACAGTTGATGAAGGTATAGCAGATCAAACCATTATCTGCTTCCTACAATAAACCACAATCGTTGATGCAATGTTTAATACAGAGGTTCAAAAGAATATGAAAGAAGAGAACAAAGTAACTGGCTGATCACGTTAAGAGATTTCAGTTAAGATCCACCAGTAAGAACTTAAGAGTCCAAGGAAAAAGAGATGCCAGTAATCAAGCAAACGCATTGGGTTATTTTAATGGACTTACGTGCAGAAAAAGGGTAACACATCAGGCCTGGGTTGCCCAAACTCTACACATTCCCAAAAAAGTCAGTCTTCAGAACTGGCGCCGTTGGCCAACTCCTGGGAAATGAATTCTGAGCCTCTGAAATATTCTGCCTGGTCAGAGTATTTTTGTATGCTGGAGATCTTGGGCCACATGGTACCAGTTTGACTAGATAGTTTATGCAAACAACAGGATGCATGATTAATACTTCGTGCCTGATTTTGCTCTGAGAGGTTGGAATCTGAGCATCTCAGGGCAGTCATGAAGGTACTGCTTGCCTATGTGACTGACTTCCAATAAAAACCCTGGACACCAAGGCTCAGGTAAGCTTCTTTAGTTGACAACACTTCACTACTGGGAGAATTAAAATTAACCATCACAGATGCACTTATGTGTCAACTTGACTGGATTAAGGAATACCTAGAGAACTGGTAAAGCATTACTAATAGCTGTTTCTGTGTTTCCAGAGGAGACTGGAATGTGAATTGATGGACTGAGTGAGAAATATTCACCCACAATGTGAGCAGACACCATCCAATCAACTAAGAGCCCAAATAGGACCCAAAAAAGCAAAGAAAAGGCACTCTCCTGGAATGGGGACACTCCTCTTCTCCTGTCCTTGGACATCAGAACTCTAGGCTCTCTGACATTTGGACTCCAGGCTTTATACCAGCAACTCCCTAGTTTCCCACCAAAACCCAGGTTCCTGGCCCTTAGCCTCAGACTAAGAATTACACCATCAGCTTCCCAGGGAACTTGGACGGAGATACGTTACCAGCATCCCAAGGTCTCCAGCTTCCAGATGGCCTGTCTTGGGAATTTTCAACCTCCATAATCACATGAGCCAATTTCCCAGTGAATTCTCTCTCATATATGTATATGTATCCGATTGTGTCTGTCTCTCTGGAGATCCTTGATTTCACCACATCATCCATGTGACTCCACTGGAAGAAGATACCTTAAAGCTTGCACTTGGTTTCTCCAGGATTTTGCTCTATGTGGTTTTCCCTTTGCTGATTTTAATCTGTACTTTTCACTATCATAAACAATAACCATGAGTCTTTTCTGAGTCTTGTGAGTCATGACTCACTGAGCCTGAGAGTGGTCTTAGGGACAGCTGACACAGTTGCCATCATAAGTAGGACTCATTAAAGCATGGCAAAAACATTGTTTCAAAAAAGGAAGAATGACAGGGCAGACAATGACAAACTCTGATGCCTAAATGGGTATACAGTCACCAATGGCATGAGACGGCAGCTGTACTGTGCTGTTACTACATATAGAAGTTGTCAATGGAATTTAGAAATGACAGACCAAAATCTCAAGGACTTAGATCACTGGATACATAAAGAAATGCAAAATGATGAGAAACAAGCTAAATACACAATCCACTGGTAACGTGTACTTTTTTCCCCACATGTAAGATTTTTATTCCAATTTGATTTGCATTTCAAAGGAAATTATAAAATGTATCCACTTTTTTTAAGACAAAAATTTAATTATAAAACATGATAAACTTCCAGGTTAAAATTAGGCTAACTGCTTGGAATAACAAACTCTTAAATCACCATTTTCCACCTCCACACCAAGAATAACCATTTAATCAACCATACTGTAACAGCAGGATAGCACTGAGACTTGAGTAAAGAGGAAAACTAAAGAGCTCTTCCAGCTCCAAATCATGAACATTTTTATGCCTTCTTATAGTGGTGAACGGCAACCACATCATCACCAAAAGTAAGTCATAACCATTTCACCATACTTAATTTCTCTTATAAAATATGTTTCTTTGTCATCCCATTTCTGTATGTGAATGAGTTTGTCTCTGTCCAGACTAACAACAAACTTGCAGTTTCTGTCATCTGTAGTGGTTTCATCAAACTCTTCTCCCAGATGGAAACTAACCTCTGTGTTCTTGAACATACTTTGAATCCTGATCACCACCTTTTGTCTTCTTCTTGACTGATAATCACTCTTGGTTTGTCCACATTTCCCACCTGCCTAGTGACAAAGCCCATCCCTAGAGCCTTCATGTACTCATCAAAGTTCTGTCGGTCAGCTTCCAGGTATTACAGAAAGCCTCCTCCACCCTTGCCCTTTCCCCACTTTAGAGACAGAAGTGAGGAGCTGCTGGTCTTATTGCCACTGCAGTTTGTGTTTTTTTTTTTTTTTTTTTTTTTTTGAGAGGGAGTCTCGCTGTGTCTCCCAGGCTGGAGTACAGTGGCATGATCTCAGATCACTGCAACCTCTGCCTCCTGGGTTCCAGTGATTCTCCTGCCTCAGCCCCTCAAGTAGCTGGGATTACAGACGCATGCCACCAAGCCAAGCTAATTTTCTGTATTTTTAGTGGAGACAGGGTTTCACCATGTTGGTCAGGCTGGTCTCAAACTCCTGGCCTCAAGTGATCTGCCCGACTTGGCCTCCCAACGTACTGGGATTACCAATGTGAGCCACTGCGCCTGGCCCAGTCTGCTGTATTTTAAAACAGCTAAAATGAAAGTAAGAGAGAGTGTTAAGGAAATCCTGATGCTCAAAAAGCTTGGATTTTGGTTAGCTTGAGCTATGGCTGTTAGCCTCCAGGATAAACCCAATGGAAAATTATGCTGAAAAAAACAGACAGTATATCTATGGCCTTTGACCACCAGGAACATTGTCCAAATGGTGGGTGACAAAACCAAGACAGTACTGGAAGCAGGGGTTATGTGTGAAGGAGTTATCTTGCCTTGTGAACTGGTATTCATCGGGTTCCTGAAAAACATTTAAGAAAATAGATTGTGAGAGTGACTAACTTGGGAGCAGTATCTTTGATTCTGAATGTTGCAGAATGAAGAAGTCTGCTTGGGGTTGATGCAGGAACCTTATTACTGAACAATCATGGATTGTTGTACATGATCCAAACACACAATAGATTGTTCCTAAAGGGACAGCTAGTCTGGTGGACTGGGTAAAAGCCACTGTAAAATTTGTTTACCCTGAAAAGGGAAATGGTCCTTCCCCTCCTTTAAATGCCAAGTGGCACTCCTCCATAGATGACATAGCTGGTAAGCTGCATATGCAAACCATGCTGGATTAACTTCATGGTCATCAGGATGTTTGTTCATCCTTAATATGCCCTTTAAATCATGGTAAATACTGTGACTGAAGGGGCCCCGCTAGGCAGGCATCTGATATAACTGCTGCAAAATCTATCAATGGTCCAAGAAATGTGTCAGATTTGTTGTCTCAGCTTCTTAATATGGGTCTTACAGATGCTAAGAAAATAAGACTGAATCACAAGTGAATGGGTAACACAAAACAGATAGTCAACGAAGTCCCAAGCAGGATGAAGTTTTAAACGGTTACTAAGAGATGGGATGAATAAAATGGACACTGATGTTAACACAAAGGTCTTAATGCTGCACTATCAGAAGTTAGGTTTACCAATGGGAGCGCCTCTTAGTCCCCCAACACTGAAGGGCCCTAAACAAACACTCTATGCACCCTAATTTCAAAGAATGCACCAAGCTGGGAAGCAAAAATGACAATGAAGAACCTCAGTTCAAATCATCAGAGGTGATGGGCTACCAAATTAATCAGGATGAGGACTGACACAGAACCAGGGCTTTCTTTTAACTAATCTCCTAGTAGGGACTGAAGGCCATATGCACACCTGTAGGTACAATAGAAGGTAAAAAAGAAACCTTCCAGGGGTTCCTGACATAGAATTCAGTGCCTCTGATTCCAAAACCTATTGGTAAAATCCTAGCAGAGGCAATAACTAGAAAGACAGGATATGAGGATGAAATGGCTGATAGGATTAAATTAAAATTTGGATGAAAATTAGTATGTTTGAATGAATCTTGGAAGTACTTGCATCCACATTACCTGAATATGTTTTGGGGAAGGATATGATGTTTGACCAGGGAAAACTTCAGCTACTATACTGCAGAAAGCTTGTTAGTTTTCCCTTCAGTCAGAACAGGCTAAATGAGAATCTGTGCAACTTCCCCAGCTCACATAGGTTGTTAATTTGAAACAGTATCATGGTGGACCAAAAGAGATTTAGCACATGAATTAATGACATGTTCGACACTGGAGTGCTGTTACCAACAAGTTCTGTGTCGTGCATGAAAAAGGTGAATTATTCATGAAAACTCACAGCAGATAATCAAGACTTGAATAATATAGTATCATCTACAGCATCAGCAGTCTCTGACATGGTTTCAGAAGTTCTCAAAATAAAACAATCTAAAAGAGACATACTCAGCCAGACATAGTGGCTCACACCTGTAATCCCAGCACTTTGGGAGGCCAAGGCAGGAGGATCACTTGAGTCCAGGAGTGTAAGACTAGCCTGGACAACATAGTGAGACCCTGTTTCAATTAAAAAAAAAAAAAGAGAGAGAGACATACTGATTGATCTTGAAAATACTTTTTTCTTGGTCCCAATCTCAGGAAAAAAACAACTGCACTTTGCCTTCTAGTGGGAATGATCCCAATTTATACTTACTGCAGTGCTGCAGGTTTATCTGCATTTATCAGCTTACCATTATAATTTGTTTCGAAGGGATTCTGACTTGATACAGGTCCAGAATACAATAATATACTACACTGATGACATTATGACGGTATCAGAAACCTAAGAACAAGCTAGGGCTAACTTGAAAATAGTGGTGGCTCACAGGAATACCACAGGCTGGAGGATAAATCCAGCAAATACCCCAGGGTCTAACCAAACTGTGAAATTCTTACGAATAACCTGGGCAGGAACCACCCATAACATTCTACAGGCAACTAAAATTAAATTGCTCTTATTACATAACCATGAAAGTAAACAAGCAGCATTCACTGCAGCTGGTTTGCTTGAGTTTTGCGAAGAAAAATTCTGTATCTGGGGACTAGTGCTAAATCCAATCCGTAAAACTACCTGAAAGGACACATATGAATGGAAACCTAAACAACAGCAGGCTATTATCTAAGTTGCAGTGGCTCAATTAATGCCTTTGGGTCCTTACGATATACACTCAGATATGATTTTAGAAGTATCTGCAACTCAGACTGGAGCTTATGGCAAAAAGCCCATGAATGCTGTCCAGCAGTAACCACTGGGACCATGGGCCAGACAAGAAAGTATAGAACACATCATTAGAGAGACGATTATTGGTTTGCTCCCGGGCATTAACTGCAACTGTCTTTATGACTGAAGGACATAACATAATCCTAAAACCTAAAATATCCATGTCTTGGGTAATGTCAGAGAAACACTCTAACGAGTACCAATAACAAAATGAAAATGGCTTAACGGGAATGTGCTGAGGAATGCAAGAAGACACTTACCATATTCAATAGAAGAAAACCTTTTTTTTTTTGAGACAGGGTCTCACTTTGTGTCAACCAGGCTGAATACAGTGGGGGCAATCACAACTCACTGCAGCCTTGACCTCCCAGGCTCAAGCAATCCCGCATCTCAGCCAAATGAGTAGCTGGTATCACCAGAGGCATGCCACCACACCTGGCTAATTTTTATTTTTTGTAGAGATGGGAGTCTCACTATGTTGCCCAGGCTGAGTCTGAGTCTGAACTCCTGGACTCATGCGATTCTCCTGCCTTGGCCTCCCAAAGTGTTGAGACTGCAGCCATGAGTCATCACGCTTGGCCTCCTCTTTTCTTCCAGATCAACTTTGGAACCATCTGTAAAGCTACCAGATCCTATTGCCACATCCTACTGTTCAAATGCTAGTGTCTTACAAAGAGCTCTCACTGACCACCAAAAAGTGGCTTGTTTTACAGATGATAGCAGTTCAAAGGTAATCAGCCAGCATCCTGTTTGGAAGGCTGTCACACTATAACTGACTGATGTGAAACTGATGAAAGAACAACAAATCAGCTCAAAGGGCTCAATTGTACATTGTTCTCCTTGCAATGATGGATGAACTAAACAAACATAACCTTCATGTGTGGATGTACACCCATGAATGGGCTGTGGCCATTTGCCTGGCCATATGGTCAGGCTGACAGGCAGTGAAAAACTAGACTATTAAATGGATGTGCCAGGCATGGTGGCTCACGCCTGTAATCCCAGCACTTTGGGAGGCCGAGGCAGGTGGATCACCTGAGGTCAGGAGTTTGAGACCAGCCTGACCAACATGGTGAAACCCCGCCTCTACTAAATACAAAAAGTTAGCCAGGTGTGGTGGTGAATGCCTGTAATCTCAGCTACTTGGGAGGCTGAGGCAGGAGAATCTCTTGCACCTGGGAGGCAGAGGTTGCAGTGAGCTGAGTTTGCACCATTGCATTCCAGCCTGGGCAACAAGAGCAAAACTCCATCTCAAAAATAAATAAGTAAACAAAATAAATAATAAATGGATGGGTGATTAATGAGGCATGGCTCTATGAGAATCATTATGGGAATTTAAGGGGTGAATTAAAGTAGGACATGTTGATGGTCATCAAAAGAACTTCTTTCAGGATCAGGAGATGACTGGAACCAGCAAGTGGATGTCCCAGCATGCTTGTTTGAGGTGGCTATCTGGGTCCCCAAAATAAGTAGATATGGGAGATATTGGCCGGGCACAGTGGCTCATGCCTGTAATCCCAGCACTTTGGGAGGCCAAGGCGGGTGGATCATGAGGTCAGGAGACCGAGACCATCCTGGCTAACATGGTGAAACCCCGTCTCTACTAAAAGTACAAAAAATTAGCCAGGCGTGGTGGTGGGCACCTGTAGTCCCAGCTACTCAGGAGGCTGAGGCAGGAGAATGGCGTGAACCCAGGAGGCGGGGCTTGCAGTGAGCCGAGATCGCGCCACTGCACTCCAGCCTGGGCGACTGAGTGAGACTTTGTCTCCAAAAATAAAAATAAAAAAGATATGGGAGATATGCAGCAATGCAGACAGAGATGGGCTGGCCATTGATATATTCCTCTTGTACCCTCTGATGCACAAAATTCCAGAAAGAGCCATCCTGTCTGCCAGAAAGGGAGAAAGAGACTGCAGATGACTATGGCATATATTCCCCAGAAAAAAGTCCCCCCACTCCCATATATAGTTGGCAAATACACTACACTGAGCTACTGCCACTATCCCCAGGAAGCTATAAATGGTAATTCTTGGAAATAGACGTTTACAGTGGATTGGGCTTTGCATACCCAATGGTAGATACAAAAGCTCAAAATACCGTAAGATGACTGGAACAGAAGGTACTGCACCCCCACCAAGTTACATGTCTTCAGACCAAAGAATGTACTTTATAGCCCATACGCCATACTTTACAGCCAATATCCCCAGAAGTCTCAACCAGTGCAGTATCAAGTCAAAGTCCAAAATCTCATTTAAATATCATCAGCTCAAAAGTCCCAAGTGTTATAACCCAAATCAGGAATGGGTGAGACTCTATGCATAATCCACCCTGGGGCAAAATTCCTCTAAATCTGTGGACCTCTCACACTAGAAAACAAGTTATCTGCTTCCAAAATACAATGGTAGAAAAGGCCTAGGACAGATATTCCCACTCAGAAAGGGAGAAATTGGAAGAAATAAAAACATCACTGATTCCAAGCAAGTTCTAAACCCAGCAAGGGAAATTCGATTTCAAGGTCTGTAACTAATCCTCAGTAATTTGTATTTCTGTCCTCTAGGCCCATGGTGGCTCCATCAACCTCTGCCTTTGCAACCCTGGTGGCTCCATCACCCTGTCTCTGGCCTCCAATTCATTCTTGCTTTTTTTTAAAAAAAAAATTATAACATGCTTTCAGCTGACATCCATCAACTATACCATTTCTTTTACACTGACAGGGTTTATAACATTTTCAGTCTGTTCTGTAACTATACTTAAGTCTTCGGTGCTTTGTCTATTGATAAATCCTAAAAACTGAACGCCAATTTGGTGTTTCCAATGGTGTAAGTAAATGAATATTATTCATGGGACAATCAAATAGTATGGTCAGACCTGTAATGAAGGAAAGGTTACTCTACATCAATAGACCTGGGCTTCTCAAGAACCAATGTTTCATGTCTCAACCAAATAGCCTCTTTTTTTTTTTTCCATACAGGCATACGTCAGGTTTTGTTCCAGACCACCACAACAAAAGTATTGCAATAAAACGAGTCACACTAACTTTGTGGTGTCCCAGTGCATATAAGTTATGTTTACACTGCACTATACTGTAGTCTATTAAGTGTGTAACAGCACTATGTCTAAAGAAATGTATATACCTTAATTTAAAAATACTTGACTGCCAAAAAAGGCTAAGGGTCATCTGAGCCCTCAGCAAGTTGTTATCTTTTTGCTGGCAGAAGGTCTTCTCTTGACGTTGATGGCTGCTGAGTGATCAGGGTGGCAGTTGCCAAAGGTGAGAGTGGGTGTGGCAATTTCTTTCTTTTTTTTGAGACGAAGTCTTGCTCTGGCACCCAGGCTGGAGTGCAGTGGCACGATCTTGGTATTCAAGCAATTCTCATGCCTCAGCCTCCCAAGTAGCTGGGATTACAGGCACCTGCCATCACACCCAACTAATTTTTGTATTTTTAGTAGAGACAAGGTTTCACCATATTGGCCAGGCTGGTCTTGAACCCCTGACCTCAAGCGATCTGCCTGCTTTGGCCTCCCAAAGTGCTGGGATTACAGACATGAGCCACCATGCCCAGCGTGGCAATTTCTTAAAATGAGAAAACAATGAAGTTTCCCATATTGACTTTCTCTTCCAAGAAAGGCTTTCTCTTTCGCATGCCATGCTGCTTATCCACAGCACAACTTTCTTCACAATCGGAGTCAATCCTTTCACAACCTGCCACTGCTTTATCAACTAAGTTTATGTAATTTTCTAAATCCTTTGCTGTTATTTCAGCAATGTTCATGGCATCTTCTCAAAGAGTAGATCCTATCTCAAGAAACCAGTTTCTTTGCTCATCCATAAGAAGCAAATCCTCATTTGTTCATGTTTCATCATGGGCCTGATAAAATTTAGTCCTATCTTCAGGCTCCACTGCTAATTCTAGTTCTCTTGCTATTTCTACCACCTCTGCAGTTATTTCCTCCACTGGAGTCTTGAACCCCTCAAACTCATCCATGAAGATTGGAATCAACTTCTTACACACTCCTATTAATGTTGATATTCTGACCTCCTTCCATGAACATTCATGAAGACTGAATGTTTTTCAAGGCATCTAGAATGGTGAATCTTTCCCAAAAGGTTTTCAATTAAGTTTCCTTGGATCTATCAGCAGAGGAATTACTATCTATGGCAGTAATTACTGTCTATTACAAAATGTATTTCTTAAATAATAAGACTTGAAAGTTGAAATAATGGGCTGCAGAATGGACGTTGATAATGAGCTGCAGAACTGACGCTGGGTTAGCAGGCATGAAAACAACATTCATCTCCTTGTATATCTCCATCAGAGCTTTTGTATATCTGGTGCATTGTCAATGAGCAGTAATATTTAAAAAGTAATCTTTTTTTCTGAGGAGGTCTCCACAGCGGGCCTAAAATATTCAGTAAAACATACTGTAAGCAGATGTGCTTGTCATCCAAGCTTTGTTGCTTTACTGATAAGAGAACAGGCAGTGTAGAGTTACCATAATTCTTAAGGGCCCTAGGATTTTTGAAATGGTAAAGGAGCAATGGCTTCAACTTAAAGTCACCAACTGCATAGCCACTACTGAGAGAGTCAATCTGCCCTTGGAAGCTTTAGAGCCAGGCAATGACTTCTCCTTTCTAAGGAAGTCCTAAGTTCAACTACATGGAAAATCTGTGGTTTCGTGTAGTCATCTTCACCAATTATTTAGCTAGATATCTGGATAACTTGCTGCAGCTTCTGTGTCAGCACTTGTGGTTTCACATTGCACTTTTAGGCTATAGAGATGGTGTCTTTCCTTAAACCTCACACGCCAACCTTTCCTAGCTTCCAACTGTTCTTCTGCAGCTTCCTTACTTCTCTCACCCTTCACAGAATTGGGAGAATTAAGGCCTTGCTCTGGATTAGGCTTTGGCTTAAGGGAATGTTGCAGCTGGTTTGAACTTCTATCAAGACCACTCGAACTTTTTCCATATTAGCAATGAGTCTGTTTTGCTTGCTTATCATCAAATACAAGGGCACCCTAATAAGATTATCGAAGATTTCTCATCAGAAACATTGAAGGCCAGAAGGCAATTGGTTGATACATTCAAAGTGCTGAAGGAAAAAAACTAAAGCAAGAATCCAGCAAAACTATCTTTCAAAAAATGAGGGAGGTATCAAGACATTTCTAGGTAAACAGAAACTGAGGGAGTTCATTAGCACTGGACCTGTCATACAAGAAAAGCTATAGTGAGTTATATTAAACCCTTCAGGTTTAAATATAAGGACATTAGACAGTCACTTAAAGTCAGATGAAGAATTAAAGATCTGGTAAAGCTAAATACACAAAAAAATATAAAAGCTAGTATTACTGTAAGTTTGTGTTGTAATACCACTTTTTGCTTTCTACATGATTAAAGAGACTCATACATTAAAAAATTAGTAGTCTTGTTTTTGGACACACAATGCATAAAGATGCAATTTAAAGACACCAACAATTGAAAGGAGTAAGGACAGAATTGTAAAGAAGTGGAGTTTTTGAGGGTTATTAAAGTTAAGGTGGTATAAATTTAAATTACAGTACTATAACTTCAGGATATTAAATATAACCTATACAAAGAAAATAGCTATAGAATATACACAACAGGAAATGACAAGAGAATTAAAATGTTTCACTAAAAAATCAATTAAACACAAAAGAAGGCATTTATGTAGAAAAGGAGGGACAAAAAGCAATGAGGCATATAGAAAATAAATAGCAAAAGGACCGAAGTCAGTCCTTATCACGACTCACTTTAAACATAAATGGACTAAACTCTCCAATCAAAAGAAAGAGATTGGGAAAGTCGATTAAACAAACAATAAGAATGATCCAATTCCATGCTGTCTCCAAAAGCCACAAACTGGGTAAAAGTGAAAGAGAAAAAATTATTACATGAAAATATAGCAGTTCCCCTTATTAGTGGAGGATATGTTTTGAGACCCTGGTATTTGCCTAAAACCATGGATAGTACCAAACTCTATAAAGTCATTCCTTGATATCCATGGGGGATTGGTTTCAAAATCCCCCTGCAGATAACAAAATCCACAAATGCTCACTTCCCTAGTATCAAATAGCATAGTATTTGCATATAATCTATGCACATCTTCCCATATACTTTAAATCATCTCTAGATTAGTTATCATATCAGATATAATGTAAATGTTATGTAAATAGCTGTTACAATACATTGGTTTTTTAATTTTTAATATTTTTATTCTTGTATTATTATTTTTGAGTATTTTAAATCCACATTGGTTGAATCCATGGATATGGAATACAGAGAGCCAACTGCATATACTGTGTTTTTTTCCTACACATACTACCTAAGATAAAGTTTAATTTGTAAATTAGGCACATCCTTTATAAATGGATATTAAAAGTAGATTAACAGCTACTATTAAAAGTAAATTAACAACAATAATAAAATAGAAAACTTATAACAATATATTGTGATACAAGTTATTGTGATGCATATGGTCTCTCTCTCAAAATATCTTATTTTACTATACTCATCTATATTTAGGCTGTGGTTGATTGGGGGTAACTCAAACCATGAAAAGCAAAACTGCAGCTAAAGGGGGTACTGCCATAGTAACCAAAAGAGAAAAGGGGTGGCTATATTAATATCAGACAAAATAGACTTTAAATGAAAAGGCCAGAAAACACCAAAAAAAGATATTATTAATAAAAGTTAATACAGCAAGATATAACAATAATAAACACTTACATACCTAATAACAAGACCATCAAAATATATGAGGCAAAAATTGAAAGAACTGCAGAAAGCAATGACCATTTTACAATAATAGTTGGAGATTTCAATACCCTACACTCTCAATGATGAATACAACAACCAGAAAGAAAGAAGTAAGGCAACGGAAGACTTCGACAACTCAATAAAGCAACTAAATCTAAGACATATACACAAAATGCTCTATTAAATATACACAAAATACTCTACCTAACAACAGAATCTACAGTCTTTTCAAGTGCATAGGGGACGTTCTCCAGGATAGATCATATGTTGGATTACAAATAAAGTCTCAATAAACTTTAAAAGACAAATACAAAGTATCTTCTCCAACTACAACATGAAGTTAGAATATAAAGAAAACAAGAAAATTCCCAAATTTGTAGAAATTAAACAACAGACACAATCAATGACAAAGGAAATTAGAAATACTTTGAGATGAATGAAAACAAAAATACGACAGACTAAAATTTATGGGATGCCACAAAAACAGTGCTAAGGGAGAAATTTAAAGCCATAAATGCTTATACTAAATAAGAGAGATTGCAAATCAACAATCTAACTTTATAACTTAAGGAACTAGGAAAAAAATAAATTAACCCAAAGCAAGCAGTAGGAAAAAAAAATAAAGATTAAAGCAAAGACAGATAAAACAAAGAAAAGTCAACAAAGCCAAAAGTTGGTTCTTTGAAAAGATTAACAAAATTGATAAACCCTTAGCTTAACTAAGAATAAATGTATAAGGAATGAGGGAAATAGAAAATCACCATTAGAACACAACAGTAATAATTATTATGGGCAAAATCCACTGATATGGGTGTTAAAATTAGTACCTAAAAGTTTAAGAAAAAATAGGTTATTTATATAGTCCCAGAGTATTTCCTCTAAGATACTGATTACTTATGAATGGAAAAAATAGCAACTTTAAAGTGAAGAAACACAGTAGACACCACTGTAGTCAAGCAATCAAAATTAACATCACCAGTAAAAAGATATCAAAATCATTTCTTCCCTGATATGTTGCTCTGAGAAGGGCACAGCAGGAACCAAACCCCAGGTCTTGTCACACTCCAAATCTTCATAGTGTTAATCATCTTGCTATAAATGAGCATATTTTCTTTCAAGAAACGATAAATAGATTTGTTGGGAGAAAGCAGCAAGGCACTACTTCAATCAGAATAGTCTATCATTTGTGAAATATACGTAGTTCTGTACAGTTACTCAGAAAAGTGTAAGTAGTGAGATAAGACAGTGTCTAATAGGATATTCCCCAGTCTGATGAACAGAAATTAAATAATGGGATACAAGTGAGGCTAATATATAAAAGAAAAAACAGAATGGAATAGATATTTACTGATGCTTGATACACAGTAGGTAGTAATAATACACAGTAGGTAGTAATAATAGTAATAATAATTATAGCAAATATTTATAACAATAGCATATTTTAATTTCATTTGATTTGTAATTTAATTTGTTAAGTTTATTTAATACTGATGGCATGTACTATTATATTTATCTATTCATTTAACCCTGAAAATAACCATATGAGGCAGGTACTACTATTAGCCCCACTCTGTAGATAAGAAAATAAAGGCATAAAAAGTTGGATCACTTACTAAGCAGCAAAACCTACCTGACATTATACTACCTCCCAGAAAATATCAGCTTAATTAATAATAAGTGCCAGCTAGGATGCTAAATACCTTACATATCCCAATCCTCAAAATATTCCTGTCCAGAGGTTTTATTATACCAATTTAAATGAAAAAAACTAAGGCTCTGATTGGTTGCCCAACACACTGCAAGATATTGAGCACATTCGGCTTCTACCTGGTAACTGTCAGAAGTACCCCTCCTCCTCAGTTACTGTGATAAGCAAATATGTGCCCCCCATAAACATTTCCAAATGCCCCTAAGAGACCAGTACTTCCCCAAAGTACTGCTTTAAAAAGTACTGGTTGTTAAAGACTATTAGGTGAGTAGTGAACCTAGGTGTGTATGATTCCAAAGCCAATGTTCTTTCCAATAGGGGCATTGACTTGTAAAGGAGTTGAGGTCAAAACAAATGTACAAAGACAGGGAAACAAAGTTTCACAAAGTGTAAGGGGCAATACACTCCAGATGAGGAAACTATAGTAGCAAATAACTGGAAGTTGAAGTAGTCCATAAAGTATAACAGTAATTTATGTCATTTGTTGAATTAAGTAAGACTTAAAGCATGGACCAATTTGTAAAGTGTATCTCCTGAGGGAATTGGGATTTTGTTCAGAACTCTGAGTGAGAACTGACATCATTAACATGTTATTTATTTAAAAAGGTCTAAGCTGAATAAAGGTATGGGGGTGGGAAGTAAGTCTTCCTAAAATAATTTATTTTAATTTCACCATTCTAGTATTTTCAAATCTATTTAGGATGTTTTTCCATTCAATGTTATATAAGCTTTAGAATTTATGAGTAAAAATCATCTACACTAGTCAATCTTAATAAGAAATTCAGAACGATAGGAGAAATTATTAAAAAGCAATCCTAGTATAATTATGATATAGATCACAAAACATTCTCCCAAACATGCAAACATAAACATTTCTATTTCCTTAAGAGAATAGCTTTAGTATATAATATACAAATATTATGAATGTCTGAAAACTTTAAAAATTACAAATATTAATACACAAAAATTACTGTAGCAGTAGTCTACAACCATATTTTGGTTGTTTAATGGAATTTGCATACATTAGCATGTAAATTCATGAGCCCACAAACACATGCACACTGCAAACAAAAATTTAGTAATCAACTTTAATAAATCAGTTACCTTTGCAATAATGACTTCTTTCTTCAGAATCTTCATAGCATAGTATTTTCCACTTGCCTTCTCTCGAACCAAAATAACTTTCCCAAAAGTGCCTTTACCTAGTAGTTTCAAATAGTCAAAATCATTCATTGTCTGAAAAATACAAATTAAAAAATATAATATGAAGTATTTGATGCAATTTATTTGTTAGCATATATATATGTGTTTGCAATATCCACTCAAAACCAAATTTTACCAATTTATAAGCACATTTAAATGAAAAAGAATCAGACTGGCATTGGCTGTCTCATTAGCAACCATGGATGCTGAAAATAATTTAAGCAGTTCTCAGATGTTGGAGAAAATGATTTTGAACCTAGAATTCCTCAGCGAAATTATCAGTTGTGTAAAAGGGCAAAGGAGGAAAAAAATTATTTTCACTCATTTTTAAGGACTCAAGTTTTCAAGGATTTAGTAGTGCTGCTACCCCCAGAAAATGTGATAATCAAAAATGTTCCACACAAACATTTCCAAATATGCCTAAAAAAGCAGTGCTTTGGAAGGAGCTATCTGAGAATTTACTCTAGCAAAATAAAGATAAAATCCAAGAAAGAGAGAGATATAGGATATATTTATAAGAAATGTCGAGAACCTCGTATACTTCAGTTAAAATAAATCAAAGAAAGCAGTTGTTATTCCTGAGAGAGTACTTTATGCAATTCAGAACAGCAAGGAAGGGAGCTCTAAGAAGAATATCTTTAATTAATGTGCCTGTTTTCAGTTTCACTTCTCTTTCTTAAGTCAGGTAATCCTGAGGATTTTGCCAGTCACACGTGCCACTTGTTCTCTACAGTCCCCTCTATGTACTCTTTTCCTGCTCTGCTCTATCAACATTCTTCCAGAAACTTCCAAACTTTTGAAGGCATTTGTGCCCTAATGCCCCTCCCCGACCCAGCTTTTCATTTTTGTGGACTTGCCTCCTTTTGAAATTCCTTTACTTTCATATTAATAGGTTTTTGAAGAGAAGAGAAGGTAATTGTATATGATCAGTTTACATAAATTTAAACTCAGTTTAGAGGTTTATAAATATCAAATAAGTATTTGGGTTTTATCTTGAAATTACAAGTCACTGAAAATTTTAGTGCCTTTTATAACTTTTTTTTTCTGTTTATCATTTATCTAAAGTAAACGTGAGAAATATTTCAAATCAATTGTTTCAGTTTCCACCTTAACAAACTTAAAAAAAAAGCAAGTTAACCCAAAAGAGTTAGAAGAAAATGATACAGATCAGAGCAGAAATCAATTAAATTTTTAAAAGAAAGAAAAAGAGTAGAGAAAAAATCAGTGAAACCAAAAGCTAGTTCTAAAAGATCAATAAAAATTGATAAGCCTCTGGCCAGGTTGGTCAGAAAAATAGAGAAGACACAAATTACCAATATCAGGAATGACAGAGGTGGCATCACTACAGATTCTACAGATATTAAAAGAAACGTAAGAGACTATTATAAATGGCATTTTGACAATAAAATTGACACCTTTGATGAAATGAACAAATTGCTTGAAAGTCTCAAGCTTTGAAAGCTCTTTCTTTGAAAGAAACAGATAACTTGATAACCCCATATTTATTAAGAAAAATTGAGTCTGTGGTTAAATACCTTTCATCAAAGAAAACTCCAGGCCCAGATGGTTTCACTGGTGAATTCTACAGACATTTAAACAAGAAATGACACCAATTTTATACAAATTCTTTCTGAAAATTAAAATGAGGAATACTTCTCATTCATTCTGAGACAAGCATCATCCTGATACTGAGATAGGAGTTTGGCAGGTCTCCTTTCACAAGATGCAGGTCACAAAGACCCTGCTGGTAAAACAGGATACAGTAAAGAAGCCAGTCAAAACCCACCAAAACCAAGATGGTGATGAAAGTGACCTCCGGTTGTCCCCACTGCTCATTATACATTCATTATAATATATTATCATGCCAAAGGAACCTCCCATCAGTGCCATGACAGTTTACAAATGCCATGACATATCGGGAAGTTACCCTGTATGGTCTGAAAACGGGGGAAACTGTCAGTTCTGGGAATTCCCTGCCCCTTCACCAGAAAACTCAGGAGTAATCCACCCCTTGTTTAGCATATGATTAAAAAATAACCACAAAAATAGCCAACCAGTAGCCATCAGGGCTGCTCTGCCTATGGAGTAGCCACCCTTTCATTCTTTTACTTTCTTAATAAACTTGCTTTCACTTTATTCTGTTGTTTGCTCTTGAATTCCTTCTTGTGTGAAGCCAAGAACCCATGTGGTCTCCCAGGCTGAACCCCAATTTTTTGACAATACCAAAATGAGAGGAAAACAATGCAAGAAAACTACATCCCAATATCTCTCATGTATATTACATAAAAATTCTTAAAATTTTAGAAATGCCTACGTTCACTTTCAACATTTTTTGCTGCTCATATTTTTTATAATTTTCCCCAAATGTCAAATTAAAGTGTCTTACATTCAATAATATCTCTAGTTCAAAGATAAAGTAGCAAAGAGATAGCAGGGAAAATAATAAGATATATTAATTCAACTAAAAATCAAACATGTAGCTCTAAATATCAAATATAGTAAATCAGCTAGTGTCATTTGAACAAATAACAGGTAATATTAGATTTAATTGCATTAATAGAGCAGAAAAAATCAGGGAATACTACATAACAAGCTATTTGTGCTAGGTAGTCTGCAAAGATGGCTGCCACAAATTCCCATTTCTCCCTGTATGCACATTCCACTCTTCCCATGAAGGGGTGGAGTCAACTTTCTCTCTCCCCGGGCTAACCCTGTATCTTGCTTTGAACACAGAATATGATCAAACTGATACTATGCCAGTAACAGACAAAGCCTTTAAGCCTGGCAGTTTATGCGTTCTCTCTCTTGGAAAGCTCTAGAAAGCCAGCTCTAATGCTGTCAGTTAGTCCATATTATCCTGCTGGAGAGAGAGGCCATGTGGAGAGACCCTGGAAGATAAATTACCACTCCGAGAGAGAGACCAAGTGGAGGAGAACCAAGACACCATAGCCAACAGTCAGCACCAAGGCCCCAGACACATAAGGAAGGTTTTGTTGGATTTTCCAGCCCACCCATGTATAAGCTGTAGGCAGCTGATTGAGAGCCATGCATGCAAGACCAACAGAGTGGCCCAAACTACAAAATCATGAGATATTTACATGGCTATTGTTTTAAGACATTAAATTTGAGGTAGTTTGTTCCACAGCGTGAGGGTTAATACTGAGTGTCAATTTGATTGTATTGAAAGATGCAAAATATTGATCCTGGGTGTATCTGTGAGGGTGTTGCCAAAGGAGATTAATATTTGAGTCAGTGGGCTGGGAAAGGCATACCCACCCTTAAGCCGGGTGGGCACCATCTAATCAGCTGCCAGTGTGGCTAGAATATAAAGCAGGCAGAAAAACATGAAAAGGCTAGACTGGCTTAGCCTCCCAGCCTACGTCTTTCTGCTGTGCTGGAGGCTTCCTGCCCTCGAACATCAACTCCAAGTTCTTCAGCACTGGGACTCAAACTGGCTTCCTTGCTCCTCAGTTTGCAGATGGCCTATTGTGGAACCTTGTGATCGTGTGTTTAATACTCCTTAATAAACTCCATATATATGTGTGTGTGTATATATATATATATACACACACACACACACGCACACACACACACATACATATATACACACATATATATATATATATTATTAATTCTGTCCCTCTAGAGAACCCTAATACACATGGCAAGTAACTCAGAAACATTATTTTCATAACCAGGCCAGAGTGTCAATTTATTGCTCAAAGTTTCATTTGGACAGTATGTTCCTCATTTTTTTATTTAAAAGCACTAGAAAATAATACTTGCTGTGCCTTATTATTAAATATCATAGAAAATGAAATTGAATTATTGGGGGGTAAAAATTAGAAAACAATCTGTAAAATGCTTTATGACATTTTCAGTTGAAAACAATATTTAATTATAAAATATTACTATATTCCTTAAGAATTGCAATCCTTATTCTTGGCTGGGCGTGGTGGCTCACACCTGTAATCCCACAATTTGAAAGACCAAGGCAGGTGGATCACTTGAGTGCATGAGTTTGAGACCAGCCTGGGCAACATGGCAAAACCCTGTCTCTACAAAAAAATACAAAAATTAGCCAAGTGCAGTGGCAGGTGTCTGTAGTCCCAGCTACCTGGGAGGCTGAGTTGGGAGAATTACCTGAGCCTGTGAAGTTAAGGCTGCAGTGAGTCACGATTGTGCCACTGCACTCCAGCCTAAGTGATAGGAGTGAGACCTTGTCTCAAATGAAAATAAATAAATAAGTAAATAGTAAAATTGCAATTCTTAGGAACAATGAGGCTAAAAAAAAAGTATGACAGCCTTCACTGAACTTCACAGCTTGTCAGTTTGACTCTCAATCTTTAAAAAAAAGGGAATTTACATGGAAATTACTATTAGTTAAAAAGCACTGTATGTGATAAAATCAGAAACAGATTTCCCATCTATTTTGACAGAACTTCAGGAAATTAAAAAGGTATTTTTGCTATCAAATGCTCATGGTCAGAATGGTATACACAGTAATTGTGTAGTCTTTACAAATGAAATGTACACTATTACAAAATGTTTTGGTCTTCTGGATGATGTTATGGAAAAAGATACAGTAAGTCCTTTTTTTTGTTTGTTTGTTTGTTTTGAGACGGAGTCTCGCTCTGTCGCCCAGGCTAGAGTGCAGTGGCACGATCTCGGCTCACTGCAAGCTCTGCCTCCTGAGATCACGACATTCTCCTGCCTCAGCCTCCCGAGTAGCTGGGACTACAGGCGCCCGCCACCACGCCTGGTTAATTTTTTGTATTTTTAGTAGAGACGGGGTTTCACCGTGTTAGCCAGGATGGTCTCGATCTCCTGACCTTGTGATCCGCCCACCTTGGCCTCCCAAAGTGCTGGGATTACAGGCGTGAGCCACCACGCCCAGCCACAGTAAGTCTTTAATAAAAATATAGGAGTATGAATACTCTCCAGAAAAATAATCCTCCTCCAAAGCCTGATCTTAAGAATTTATTGGGGAAATACTTTACAGTTACACTCTTCCCTTTACATGTTTACGTGGCTGTTTTAGGTAAAGAGATACATGGGCATATATAACAAATGCTTAATAAATGTGTTCAAATCAGGCACACCAGAATATAAGACACTGTCTAGCCCACAAATTAGATTAAAAATAAACATATAATCAATGAGGAACATAAAGAACTTCCAAGAATACCACAGTATTAGCATATTTGGTCAAAAAAAGATAAATTCCAGATACATTTACAATGTAACAGCAAAACCAAGTAAGTAGAAAGAGGAAAAGAGCTCTGACGAAGTTCACTCCTTTGCCTCCATCTCTGCCCACTTCTCCTGGTGCTCTTTCTCACGGGAAGAGGTGGAGCTAATGTTATTAGTCAACTTCTACATTGGTTACGTCGCTTCTCCCTTTTAAATAAGCAGATTCATGCAGTGTGAGATCATGAGATTTCAGCAGGTCTGGCCATTGTTCTTTTTTTCCTTCTCTTTTTCTCTGGATACTGGCCACTGGTATGAGTTACTACAGCCAGGAATTAGGTGATACAATCCCAAGAACTGGAGTCAAACTTAGTGGGAAAGCAGGAGGCACTGCTTATACTTTAAACGTAAATCATGAGATTATAGCCAGTTGATCCCAGAGAAGCTTATGCTAGTCTGTTAAAAATTAAGCAGAATTTTGACTCTCACTTGGCTTTTTATCCTTTTATGCTATGCCCCTTCACATACTTGACAAGGCATACAAGAATGGTAGCTTGGCTGACCAAGATTAGGCACTTCTGGGTTCTCTAAGCAAATTCCTCTGAAACGCTATCTTTTAATTAAAACATAGAACCACATTTTCTTTTAATTCAAACAAAGAAGAGCACTTAAATCTGTCTGTGAGGCCCTTGCCTCTTTACACCCAACATCCTTCCTTTCCAATTGAGTTTTTAACTGGCAGAGCAGACACTGTGGCGATAATCCACCACTAAGGGAGGTAACGAACCCTATTTCATGCAAGAAATAGCAGTCTGACAACTGTCACCATAGCCATCATAATCAGTACCTATTCTTTTAATCCTATTGCCATTTGGCAAAAATTAAAGAAGGAAATGTATCCTATAAATTATTAGAATAATATTCTTATTTCACAATGTGTGGTTATAGTCTTAAAAATAATCCAAACTTCTGCAATTCTTTGCATGATAATTGATATACATAAGGGTATAGTTCTAGAATCATTTATCTTATGAAAATGACAGTAATATTTTACCACTTGAGGCTAAGTCATTAGGACCGTTATGGAGTTAGTAGTGGTACAAATGTTCTTTTTCTGCACTAACTTCTGCAGTAATTTAGAACTATTTTAAATTATTTCAAAAAAGTTAACAGAACTTCAAACATATAAGATCTTTTAATTGTATACTGTAACACGTCAATATACAGCTTATTTCTTTTTCTTGGTTCATATATCTTGAGCCTCTCTAATCTCTATAATTTTTATGCTTATAATGAAGTTATATTAGAAACAAAATTATGCAGATATTCTCTTATGACTATACTCTGTTTCTCAAAATATTATGAAAAACTGTTGTCCTTATATGACATTTGGATATTAGTTAATTTCAATTGATAATAAAGCTTGTAAATTCTTGAAAAAACCAGTAGAACTTTACTATCACAACCTAGTGCTAGAAAGGGAGGAGTTCAGATCTTACTGCCTGGGGTTAAGTACTGGCTCCCACCCTGTGTGTAATTAAGGGGAAAATTTCTTAATCCTTCCATCCTTTATTTCCCTTAACTATAAAACAGGAATAATAATGGTACTTAACTTATAGTTGAAGTTCAAAATGAAAAAAAAAATGTTTAAAGTGTTTATGTAATACGTGCTCAATAAATATTAGCTATTAAAGTTAGCTACTATTCTTTGTCCACATAAAGATAATTAAACATAAACATCACTCTAAAACATCTTCTCTTAGAATTTTTTACTCCAACTGAGTCTCCAAAAAGAAAAATCCATAGAGGTATTTTGAATTTGGGGTTCAAATACTTAACCATATCAGATTTACACTATTCTTCATTTCATTTTAAATGAAATAATTTACACATGTACAAAAGAAGCTTTCTTATCTCTGAGTAGGTAGGTGGGTGTAGCTAGACTTTGTTTTTCTTTTTGCAATGATGGAGGAACAAGGCAGATTAAATTGACGTAAAAGAAAAGAGGGATTCAGTTCAACAAACAAACAGAGTAGAAATCTACAATGAAGACAGAAAGGGATCTCAGACATTTGGCCCAGATCAAGTATAGAATATTATTCTTATTCACATAAGGAAAGGATAATTAACTTTATGTTGTGAGTGTGTAACTTCACCAAGTCCACAAGTTTAACGTGGAAAAGGGAGGATATGAACTCAGGCAGTCTATCTCCAAAGAGTTCTTAATCACTGTGCTAATACCAAATTTCATGGATAATACCTTGAAAATTTGTGTTTTCCTCCCTGAAGATTAATTTACAACCTATTAAATCAAACATATTCTAAAGTGATAAATGGCAAGCTTATCTCAACACCTCTATCTTTAATCATGAAAATATCATTTTTGTAATAAGGAAATTGCTTTTCAATTTTCTATTGCAATGAAAAAATTTATATTGCTCATAAAAATATAAATTCGTACTTATTATGCTGGAACACTGAGAGAAGGAAAAGTCTATTTCCCTACTGACTCAGAAGCAGCCATTAAATAAGAGTTATTGTTTCCAAGATTGTTCACTTTCCTGCTGACTTTACTATGACTGAGGGCACCAATCAGGAAGTACATCCGAGCCATTACTGCTCGTGCTTTTCGGGAGAATACGAAATGCGAAATGGAAAAGAACAAATCATCAGGGAAAACATTTTATTACAAAGTTTCTAAAATTGTATTAAAAATAATAAGGAAAAAATGCAAATTATAAAGTAGTGTGATGGCACATCAGTCACACATGAGCCCTATCAGCATTCAGTGCTAAAGTGCTGGATCACTGAAACAATGTTCACCTATTTGGTTTTAAACAACAACAGGTATTTCAGATTCATGTGAATAAGACCCACCAATATATTTACATATCGTAAGAAAACTGGCTGACATCTTTCTGCAAATGGTAGCTTTTAATATGTTTCTTCCAGACAAATGAATGCTGTGCTGGGAATAAGTTATTATTTTCTACCTTTCTTTTATGATGGGTTGTAGAGGCATCCATCTCTTCCTCTCCTATATTATCAATTTGTGAAGTTGGACTACAATTCATTCTCTCCTCTTCTTGCCTCTGCAGTCTGTCTGCTACAGCCTGGATAGCTTCTGTCCATTCTTCCCTATAAAAATGAGTAAAATTTCCCATTAATAGAAGATGGTAAATGATTTAAATATTTTCCTTTTATAAACTATGAAATCAATACAAATAAAATCTATTCAGAGATCAAACACACTCAACACAGATAAGCATACACTCTCACCATCACCCCAAAGTGAAAATAATCCTAAGAGCATTTCATTCACCACATGCCTAAAGTCTGTAGTAGCATTTTTTGGAAGTATGTTAAAGAAAAAAAGAGAAGAAAAAAATTGTTGAAAACTCGAGTTAAAATCATTTACATGAAAAGTTAAATTTTATTTGTCTGTACATATATATATCCTACTTTTTTTTTTTTGGAAACGGTCTCACTCTGTTGCCCAAGCTGGAGTTCAATAGCATGATCTCAGCTCACTGCAACCTCCACCTCGTGGGTTCAAGTGATTCTCCTGTCTCAGCCTCCTGAGTAGCCGGGATTACAGGCGTGTGACACAATGCCTGACTAATTTTTGTATTTTTAGTAGAGACGGGGTTTCACCATGTTGGCCAGGCTGGTCTCGAACTCCTGACCTCAAGTGATCCATCCGCCATGGCCTCCCAAAGTGCTGGGATTACAGCCATGAACCACCGCACTTGGCCAATCCTAACTATTAAGTTGACCCCCTAAAAGTTTGCTGCAGTTTTTAGAAGTGTTTTGCTTAGCTATTTTAAGTCCATCATTGACATCCTGAAGATTTCTATGAGGTCCAACAGACATTCCAAGGAAAGGTTTTCAAAGCCAAAACCTTTCATTGTTTCCAGATCATAGTAAATTTCTTAGAAAAAATTAAAAAAAAGGATACAGCTTGTAGTTTGAACAATCAGTCTCAGGAGCATTTATATCAAGCATTTATTTTTTGACATTTGGTTATCAGACCAAGGATCATTATTTTTCCATGTGAATTTTAAAATCAGCTTGTCTACTTCTTAAAGTCTATTTGGATTTTGACTGGAATTACATTAAATCTATAGATGAATTTTGGGAAAACTACCATCGTAATCATTTAAATCTTCCAATCCATGAACATGGTATAGCTCTACATTTATACAGGTCTTTAATTTCCCAATGCAATGTTTGTAATTTTCTGTGTAAAGATCTTTCACATCTTTAACTGAATTTATTCCTACATACAATCATGCACCACATAACAATGTTTCAGTCAATGATGGACTGCATATACGATGGCAGTCCCCTAAGATTATTACACTGTATTTTTACTGTACCCTTCCTATGCTTATATGTTTAGATACATAAATACTTACCATTGCATTACAATTGTCTATAGTATTCAGTACACTAACATGCTGTACAGGTTTGTAAACTGTGAGCAACAGGCTACACCAAATAGCCTAGGTATGGGGTGGGCTATACCATCTAGGTTTGTCCAAGTAGTATGTTTACACAATGTTCCTAATGACATGTTTCTCAAAACGTATCACTGTCATTAAGTGACACAAGACTGTTCTTTTATGCTATTGTGGAGGGTTTTATTTCACTTTCTAATTGTACTTATTAGTATTTAAAAATACAATTGATTTTTGTATATTGACTTTGTATACTGCAACTTTATTAAATTCATTTATTAGTTCCAGTCACTCTTATTTTTCTGCATTTTCTACACATGCAACCATGTGGTATGCAAACAAGAGCAGCTTTACTTGTTTCCAATCCGTATGCTTTTTACATCTTTTTCTTGCTTTATTGCCCTAGATCAGACCTGCAGTACAAAGTTAAATGAAAGTAAACAGCAGCATACATGCTTTGTTTCACAAGTTAGGAATAACATTGTTTTCATCCCCCTTGAATATTATGTAAGTTGTAGATCTTCTATATAACATTTACTTAATCAACTAAGTTCTATTCTATTTCTAGCCATCTGCATATTTTTAATGAAAGTTTGTTGAATTTTTGTCAAATGTAGGCCAGGTGCAGTGGCTCATGCCTGTGATCCCAGCACTTTGGGAGACTGAGGTGGGCGGATTACCTGAGGTCAGGAGTTCAAGACCAGCCTGGCCAACATGGTGAAACCTCGTCTCTACAAAAAATACAAAAATTAGCTGGATGTGCTGGCAGGAGCCTGTAATCCCAGCTACTCGGGAGACTGAGACATGAGAATCACTTGAACCCAGGAAATGGAGGTTGCAGTGAGCTGAAATCACACCATGGCACTCCAGTGAGGGTGACAGAGCAAGACTCCGTCTAAAAAAAAAAAAAAGAAAAGAAAAGAAAAAGAAAATAAAACTGTCAAATTCTTTTTCTGTATCTCTATAAAATGATCACACAGATTTTTAACTTTATCATATTAATATGGTGAAATTAGCTTAATAGTTTCCAGATGTTAACACAACTTTGAATTCTTGGGAGAAGCTCCATTTGGCCACATAACTTAAGCTTTTATGCTTTTTACCTATTGTTTAATTTGTTGATACTTTGTTAAGAAATTCTGCATATGTTCACAAGTGTATTGGGCTATAGTTGTCTTTTCTTAAAATAGTTCTGTCTGATTTCTGAAATGAGGGTGACAGTGGCCTTATAAAATAAGTTGAGAAGTACTCCCTTCTCATTATTTTCTCAAACAGCTTGTAGAGGATTGGTCAAATTTCTAACTTAAATGTTTGACAGAACGCACCAATAAGGCTGTCTGGGCTTGGAACCTTTGAGGAAAGGTTCTTAATTACTAATTCACTTCCATTCATTGATATTGGGTTTTCTAATGTTTTCTTGGATGTCAGTAATTTGTGTCTTCCCTCTTTTTCCTTTAACAATACCCCAAAACGTTTTTCAATTCTATTAATTTTTTTCAAAGAGTACTTTTGGTTTTATTAATTATTCTCTACTATTTTTCTGTTTTCTATTTCACTAATTTCTGATTGCTGTTGTTTCTGTTTTCTTTTGGTTTATTTTTCTGGTTTCTTAAGATACAAGCTTAAGTTAACGATGTGAGAAATTTCTTCTTTTCAAATACAGGTATTTAAGGCTACAAATTTCCTTCTAAGCATTCATTTAGCTACACCCCACAAATTTTGATATGTATTATTTTCATTATTGTTCATTTAAAATTATTTTCTAATGGCTCTTGTGAGTTTTTTGACCCAATGATTATAAAAAATTATGTTAATTTCCAGTAATTGACATCTATTGTCTTACTGTTATTGATTTCTAATTAATTCTGTGGATTACAGAACATACACCATATAACTTTCATCTTCCAAAATGTACTCAGAATTATTTTATGACCAAGAATATGTTATGTGTATATGTGTGTGTGTGTGTGTGTGTGTGTGTGTGTGTGTGTGTGTGTGTATGTTGGGTGTGTGTGTGTGTATATATATATGTTATGTGTATATATATATACACATACACACATACATACACACTTTAAGTTCTGGGGTACATGTGCAGAATGTGCAGTTTTCTTACATGGGTATACATGTGTCATGGCGGTTTGCTGTGCCCATCAATCCGTCACCTATATTAGGTTATTTCTGCTAATGCTATCCCTCCCCTAGCCCCCAACTCCCTGACAGGCCCCAGTATGTGATGTTCCCCTCCCTGTGTCCATGTGTTCTCATTGTTCAACTCCCACTTATGAATGAGAACATGGGATGTTTGGTTTTCTATTCTTGTGATAGTTGGTTGAGAATGATGGTTTCCAGCTTCATCCATGTGCCTGCAAAGGACATGAACTCATCCTTTTTTATGGCTGCATAGTATTCCATGGTGTATATGTACCACACTTTTTTTATCCCGTCTATCACTGATGGACATTTGGGTTGGTTCCAAGTCTTTGCTATTGTGAATAGTGCCGCAATAAACATACGTGTGCATGTGTCTTTATGGTAGAATGATTTATAATCCTTTGGGTATATACCCACTAATGGGATTGCTAGGTCAAATGGTATTTCTAGTTCTAGATCCTTGAGGAATGGCCACACTGTCTTCCACAATGGTTGAACTAATTTACACTCCCACCAATAGTGTAATAGCATTCCTATTTCTCCATATCCTCTCCAGCATCTGTTGTTTCCTGACTTTTTAATGATTGCCATTCTAACTGGTGTGAGATGGTATCTCATTGTGTTTTGATTTGCATTTCTCTAATGACCAGTGATGATGAGCATTTTTTCATACATTTGTTGGCTGCATAAATGTCTTTTGAGAAGTGTCTGTTCATATCCTTTGCCCACTTTTTGATGGGGTTGTTTTCTTCTTATAAATTTGTTTAAGTTCTTTGTAGATTCTGGATATTAGCCCTTTGTCAGACGAATAGATTGCAAAAATTTTCTCCCATTCTGTAGGCTGCCTGTTCTCTCTGATGATAGTTTCTTTTGCTGTGCAGAAGCTCTTTAGTTTAATTAAATCCCATTTGTCAATTTTCGCTTTTGTTGCCATTGCTTTTGGTGTTTTAGACATGAAGTCTTTGCCCATGCCTATGTCCTGAATGGTACTGCCTAGGTTTTCTTCTAGGGTTTTTATGGTTTTAGGTCTTACATTTAAGTCTTTAATCCATCTTGGGTTGATTTTTGTATAAGGTGTCAGTAAGGGGTCAGTTTCAGTTTTCTGCATATGGCTAGCCAGTTTTCCCAACACCATTTATTAAATAGGGGATCCTTTCCCCATTGCTTTTTGTCAGGTTTATCAAAGATCAGATGGTTGTAGATGTGTGGTATTATTTCTGAGGCCTCTGTTCTGTTCCATTGGTCTGTATCTCTGTTTTGGTACTAGTAGCATGCTGTTTTTGTTACTGTAGCCTTGTAGTATAGTTTGAAGTCAGGCAGCATGATGCCTCCAGCTTTGTTCTTTTTGCTCAGGATTGTCTTGGCTATGCGGGCTATTTTTTGGTTCCATATGAAGTTTAAAGTAGTTTTTTCCAGTTCTGTGAAAAAAGTCAATGGTAGCTTGATGGGGATAGCACTGAACCTATAAATTACTTTGGGCAGTATGACCATTTTCTTGATATTGATTCTTCCTATCCATGAGCACGGGTTGTTTTTCCATTTGTTTGTGTCCTCTTATTTCCTTGAGCAGTGGTTTGTAGTTCTCCTTGAAGAGGTCCTTCACATACCTTGTAATTTGGATTCCTAGGTACTTTAAGCTCTTTGCAGCAATTGTGAATGGGAGTTCACTCATGGTTTGGCTGTTTATTATTGGTGTATAGGAATGCTTGTGATTTTTGCACCTTGATTTTGTATCCTGAGACTTTGCCGAAGTTGCATATCAGCTTAAGGAGATTTGGGGCTGAGACAACGGGGTTTTCTAAACATACGATCATGTCATCTGCAAACAGAGACAATTTGACTTCCTCTCTTCCTATTTGAATATCCTTTATTTCTTTCTCTTACCTGATTTCCCTGGCCAGAACTTTCAATACTATGTTGAATAGGAGTGGTGAGAGGGGGCATCCTTGTATTGTGCCAGTTTTCAAAGGGAATGCTTCCAGTTTTTGCCCATTCAGTATGATATTTGCTGTAAGTTTGTCTTAAATAGCTGTTATTATTTTGAGATACATTCCATCGATACTTAGTTTATTGAGAGTTTTTAGCATGAAGGGGAGTTGAGTTTTGTTGAAAGCCTTTTCTGCATCTATTGAGATAATCATGTGGTTTTTGTCATTGGTTCTGTTTATGTGATGGATTACGTTTATTGATTTGTGTATGTTGCACCAGCCTTGCATCCCAGGGATGAAGCTGACTTGATCGTGGTGGATAAGCTTTCTGATGTGCTGCTGGATTCAGTTTGCCAGTATTTTACTGAGGATTTTTGCATAGATGTTCATCAGGGATACTGGCCTGACATTTTCCTTTTTTGTTGCGTCTCTGCCAGGTTTCACCAAAGTCAAAATGTAGGAAAAAATGTTGAGGGCAGCCAGAGAGAAAGGTAGGGTTTCCCACAAAGGGAAGCTCATCAGACTAACAGCGGATCTCTCTGCAGAAACCCTACAAGCCAGAAGAGAGTGGGGGCCAATACTCAACATCCTTAGAGAAAAGAATTCTTTTTTTTTTTTTTTTTCTGAGACGGAGTCTCACTCTGTCACCCAGGCTGCAGTGCAGTAGTGCAATCTTGGCTCACTGCAACCTCTGCCTCCTGGGTTCAAGAGATTGTCTGCCTCAGAATCCCAAGTAGCTAGGAGTACAGGTGTCTGCCCCCATGCTTGGCTAATTTTTTTGTATTTCTGGTAGAGTTGGGGTTTTGCCATGTTGGCCAGGCTGATCTCGAACTCCTGACCTCAGGTGATCCACCCGCCTTGGCCTCCCATAGTGCTGGAATTACAGGCAAGAAAAGAATTTTCAACCCAGAATTTCATATCCAGCCAAACTAAGCTTCGTAAGTGAAGGAGAAATAGAATGCTTTACAGACAAGCAAATGCTGAGAGGTTTTGTCACCACTACAGGGCACTAAACACGCAAAGGAACAACTGATACCAGCCACTGCAAAAACATGCTAAATTGAAAAGACCATCAACACTATGAAGAAACTGCATCAACTAATGGTCAAACTAACCAGCTAGCATCATAAAGCATCAAATTCACATGTGACAATACTAACCTTAAATGTAAATGGGCTAAATGCCCCAATGACAAGACACAGACTGGCAAATTGGATAAAGAGTCAAGATCCATCAATGTGCTGTATTCAGGAGATCCATCTCTCATGCAAAGACACACACAGGCTCAAAATAAAGGGAAGAAGGAATATTTACCAAGCAAATAGAAAGCAAAAAAAAAAAAAAAAAAAAAAGCAGGAGTTGCAATCCTAATCTCTGATAAAACAGACTTTAAACCAACAAAGATCATAAGAGACAAAGAAAGGCATTACATAATGGTAAAGGGATCGATGCAACAAAAAGAGCTAACTATCCTAAATATAGACGCATCCAACACAGGAGCACCCAGATTCATAAAGCAAGTTCTTAGAGACCTACAAAGAGACTTAGACTCCCACACAATAATAGTGGGAGAAAGAGACATGAAAAAACCCTTCAAAAAAAAAATCAATGAATCCAGGAGCTGGTTTTTTGAAAAGATCAACAAAATAGATAGACCTCTAGCCAGACTAATAAAGAAGAGAGAAAAATCAAATAGACACAATAAAAAATGATAAAGGGGATATCACCGTCAATCCCACAGAAATACAAACTACCATCAGAGAATACTATAAACATCTCTATGCAAATAAACTAGAAAATCTAGAAGAAATGGATAAATTCCTGGACACATACAACCTCCCAAGACTAAACCAAGGAGAAGTTGAATCCCTGAATAGACCAACAACAAGTTCTGAAATTCAGGCAGCAATTAACAGCCTACCAACCACAAAAAGTCCAGGACCAGATGGATTCACAGCTGAATTCTACCAGAGGTACAAAGAGGAGCTGGTCCCATTCCTTCTGAAACTATTCCAAACAATAGAAAAAGAGGGAATCCTCCCTAACTCATTTTATGAGGACTGCATTATCCTGATAAGAATATGTTCCATCCTGATCAATGTACCATGCTTACTTGAAAATAACGTCTCTTCTGCCACTTTTGAGTGTAGTGTTCTATAAATACTAGGTATATCAAGGTGGTTGACAATGTTATTCTATGCCTTAGCTAGTTTTTTGTGTAGCTCCTCTACCAAGTGCTGAGAATTTTTAAATCTCCAAATATGGTTGTGAAATTGCCCATTTTTATCCCTTTAATTCTGTTACATGTGTTGATGACTGCTATATCATCCTGTTCAACAGAAACTTTTCTCATTATAAAGTATCCTAGTAATCTATGGTAATACATTTAATTTGAAATGATATAATACGGCAATCCATTCTTCTTATGCTTACTGTTTCCATGATCAATCTTTTTCAATCTATTTATTTTCAACCTGTATCTTTATCTTTTTCTCCTTTCCTGCCTGTTTTTTAAATTATTTTGCACTTTTTCAGAATTCCATTTTAATTTTCCTGTTGGCTTTTCAGTCGTCTTTTTTTGCAATTATTTTTATATATATCCTTAGCTTTACATGGTCCACTTATGTAATATATGCCAGAATAATTTCTAATTCCATTTCTCCTCCAATTAGCCTGGTAGCCATCATACTCTCACTGTCTTTTTAGTAATTGTAACTTAAATTATAATATTTAACTTTGACTTTGCAAAGTCTAAAATGTCCATACTTTTAACTCTTACCAGAAAATACAGCAACCTCACAAAAAATTAACTCCATTTTTGTCAGGATCTCAATTTATATTACTTCAGATATTTTTCACTTATATAATTAAAACACAACATAAATTATTTAAAAATCAATGCTTACTTTTATTTATTGGTTTATTTAAGCATTTTGTTTTTCATTCCATTCTGTACTTATCCTCCTGAGATTATTCTTATTGTGTCCAAAGAATACTAGGTTAGTTATTATAGGTGTGCTAGTGACAAATCTTATCAAATTATTGGAGGGTGAAGGGAGTAGAGACAGGATCTCACTATGTTGCCCAGGCTGGTCTTGAGCTCCTGGGCTCAAGTGATCCTCCTGCCTCAGCCTTCCAAGGTGCTGGGATTATAGGCATAAGACACAATGCCCAGCCTCTTTCAATTTTTTACTGAAAATATTTTCATTTTACTTTTATTCATGGAAAATAGTTGTTTCTTAGCACTCATTTTCTTTCAGAACTTTGGGGATATCATTTCATCATCTTTGGAAATATTCCATTATTTGGGAACATTATTCAATTATATTTCATTATTATTCCATCCCACATATTGACATTATCTTTTGGTCTACATGCTGCTGCTCTGAAAGCAAACATTTTTTTCTCTGTCTACATTGGGGATTTTCCCACTATCTTTGTTTTTTAATAGTCTAATGAGATTAGGGATTTTCTTCATATTTTTCCTACTTGAGATTTATAGGACTTTTGAAACTATGGTTTGGTATCTTTAACTATTTTTTAAAAAATTTCAATCATTATATTTTCAAATACTTTTTGCTCTATTCTCTCCTCTCCTTCTAAGGCTCCAGTTATATATATGTAAGACATGCTCACCGCATTGTTTTTATCTTACATTCTATTCTTAATTATTTTTATTTTCTATCCTCTTATCTTTGCATGTTTCACTATAAACGTTCTGTTCTGACGTATTTTTGAGTTCGCTAATTTTCTCTAATGTGAGGTCTAGTTTGCTATTAAAGCCATCTGCTAGAACTCATAATTCCAAATGTTTTGTTTTCAATTTTAGAATTTCTATGGGGCTCTTTCTTTTTAATTTTACCTTGATTACAAATGAAAGCTATTATCCATTTGTTTCTTTTTTATACTTTCCCTCTGTAGAATCAAACAATTTTAACATACTTGAACATACTAATTAATGTATAGTTCTTTTATCTAGAGTTCCTATGAATATGATTCTATTGTCTGTTTTTTTTTCCTCTATTATTTTGGCCACATAGTGTTGAATTTTTGTGTACTCATTTTTTAACAAGTCCTGGACACAACACATGAAAACTGAGGTAATGTGAGGTCTAGGAAGATATAATCTTCTGTTAGAGTGAGTTTACATTTGCTTTTAGCAAGCTCCTAGAAAACTAGCAAAGTTGAATCACCTTCACTCAATTTCAGGACTGAAATAATTTATAGTTATATGTCAATCCTCTCAAAGCAAATCTATTTCCAGTTTACTCTTTCTTACAGGGTACAGTCCTTTAAGCTACCAATACCAAAATGTAGTGGTTTACCATGTCTCCTCTTTGGCAGATCCTAGATTCCAAAATATCACTCCCAGCTCTGGGAGCTACTCAAAATCTCTCCATCTCCAATACCACTTCAAGAACTAGCAGGTAACCCAAAAGGAAAAGTAGGTTCACTGTCTGGGTTTCTTTCTTCAATACAGTTTTGGCCCAATAAATCTTAGCCTTATCAGCTCTCTGGTGTCTTTTTAAAAAACAAAAACAAACAAAAGTCTTTTCCAGCTTCACTAGTGGTAGTTAGCTGGACTACTGACCCAAATTACATAATTCACCATAATTCATGATACTTAAACTATAACCCTACACCATTTGGTGAGGGTGTGGCGGGGGGGTGTGGGGGGGTAATTCCTGCAAAAAAGTATCAGGCCAAAGTACCTGACTAATTGAAAGAGGGCATCCAATCTTTTTATTCCTAAATAATGTTTAAAAATGTAATTAATTTGAAAAACAGAATGGAGACCCCTATGAAACAAGTACATTAATCTTTTAAAAGTACATATACTACTTCATACAAAAATCAATTTTCACCAACTGATTAGTTACTTACTAATAAATATTTAATTAAATGTCTAATACATGTGTGCTACTAAAGTTTAAAAAAGGAATGGCTTAGGAAGAACTTACAGTCTGATGGGGGAGCCTTGGTATTGTGGGGAAGTATAATAAAATGTTATGGGTAAAATGATACAAGTATACGCTAAGTACAGTGGTGTTCTAACAATAATAAAAGTTTGTGATGGGGACCCAAAAAGAAAGGTAATTCTTGAATGTAGATGTGAAAAATGAATTGGTACTTACCAGGATGAGCAAGAGACAAGCAAAGGATACGAGGTGTTCCTAGCAGTAGGGACAAAAGGGCAAGAAGGAAAGAGCTACAGGTAATGTAAGAGCACAGTATAGCATTAGTACTTGGGAAACAACAAGGAGTTCAATGTATCTGGAACATGTTGGGGGCGAGGCATACGTGTGCGCATGCACATGTGTCTCTGTATGTGAGTGTGAGTGTCGTGGCCATGGTTGTGACAGTGAAAGTAGTTAGCTGTTAAGAAAGAAAAATGACCTTTGTCTATATTGTGGATGGTCATGTGCAGCATAATAAAGTACATATACAAATCATATTTAACAGTAAATTAGTGGTGTATCCAATAAATTAAGAAAAAAGGTATATGTGCTATGATCAAAATTATTAAACATTGCTTTAAAACACACAGAAATAATACATAAAACTATCAGAAATGAAGAGATAAAATTGTTATTGTCTGCAGATACTAGGTCTACAAAGAATAAATGTTTTGGGTTACTTAACCCCAAAGGTGATGGTATTAGGAAGTGGGCCTTCATGAGGTCATGATAGAACTCATAGATTAAATTAGTGCATTTATAGAAAAGTCCTCAGAGAGTTCCTTTGGCACTTTTACTAGGTGACAATACAGGGGAAAGACACCTTCTATGAACCGTGAAGAGGGCCCTCTCTAGACACTGAATTTGCCAGCACCTTGAACTTAAACACCTGGCCTCCAGAACTGTAAGAAATAAATTTCTATTGTTTATAAGCTACTCAGTTTATGATAGTTTGTTGTAGCAGCCCAAAGGGACTAAGGCAAATCCCATTTACAAAAGCATAAAAAAGAATAAAGTACTTTAGGAATAAACTTAACCAAGAAGGTGAAAGATTTGTACACTGAAAACTACAAAACATTGCTGAAAGAAATGAAAGGAGACACAAATAAATGGAAAGACATCCCATGTTCATGCACTGAAAGGTTTAATATTGTTAAGATGTCAACACCACAAAGTAAGCTACAGATTCAATGCAATCCTTTTCAAAATCCTACAGCATTTTTGCGGAAACAGAAAAAAAAAATCCTAAAATTCGTATGGAAACCATAAAGAATCCCAAACAGCTGAAACAATCTTGAGAAAGCAAAAAGCTGAGGGCTTCATACCTCCTGACTTCAAAATGCATTCTAAAGCTTCAGTAATTAAAACAGATTGGTACTGGCATAAAGACATATAGACTAATGGAACAGAACAGAGAGCCCAGGTAATAAAACCATATATATATACAGTCAAATGATCTTTGACAAGGGCGTCACAACTAACACAATGTGGAAATATAATGCTGCTGAGAAAACTGGGTATCAACATGCAAAAGAACAAAAGTGGAGCCTTATTTTACACCACACACAAAACCAACTCAAAATGGATCAAAGAATAAATATAAGACATGAAACTACAAACTCCTAGGAAAAAACCACAGGAGAAAAGCTTCATAATTTGGTCTTTAGAAATGATTTCTTGATGCTGACAAAAGCAGTAATAGATGAGTAGAAGTATATCAAAATAAAAAGCTTCTGCACAGCAAACAACAGAACAAAACAGAAAACTACAGAATGAGAGAATATATTTCCAAACCATATGTCTGATAAGGGCTTAATATTCAAAATGTATAGGGAACTCCTATAACTCAGTAGCGAAAACAAAAAACAGAAACACAAGTAAAAACTTGGCAAAAGACTTGAATAGACATTTCTTCAAAGTAGACATACAAATGATACACAGGTATTTGAAAAATGCTTAGCATTACAAATTATCAGGGAAGTACAAATCAAAACCACGATGAAATATCACCTTACACCTGCTAGTATGGCTGTTGTTTTTAAAAAAACAACAACATAAAAAATAAATAAGTAAGTGTCAGCAAGGATGTGGAGAAATTAAAACCTTGTACACTATTGTTGGGAATGTAAAATAACGTAGCTGCTACAGAAAACAGTATGAAGATTCTTCAAAAACTTAAAAGTAGAACTACCAAATGAACCAGCAATCACATTTCTGGATATTTATTCAAACAAAGTGAAATGAGGAACTTAAACAAATATCTGCCCTCTCATGCTCATTGTTGCACTATTCGCAATAGCCAAGAGGTGGAAACAATCTAAATATCCATCAGCAGATGAATGAATAAAGAAAATGTATTGGCCGGCAGTGTGGCTCATGCCTGTAATTCCAGCCGAGGGAGGAGTATTGCTTGAGGCCAGGAGTTCCAGACAAGCCCTGGCAACACAGAGAAACCTTGTCTCTACAAAAAAAAAAAAAAAAAAAAATTAACTTAGTTGCGTGTGTGGCTGTAGTCCCAGCTACTGGGGAGGCTAAGCTGGGAGGATCCCTTGGGCCTGAGTTCCAGGCTGCAGTAAGCCATGATCACACCACTGCACTACAGCCTGGCTGACAGAGCAAGACCTTGTCTCAAAAAAAAAAGAAAGAAGGCAATTGTGTTATATACATACAATGGAATATTATTCAGCCTTAAAAAAGAAGAAAATCCTCTAATATGCTGTAACATGGATTAACTTTGAAGACATTATACTAAGGGAAGTAAGACAGTAACAGGACAAACACTGTATGATTCCACTTATGTGATGTGTCTAAAGTAGTCGAATTCACAGAAGCAGAAAGTAGAACGGTGGTTTCCAGGGGCTGGGGGTATGGGAATGGAGAGCTACTGTTCAATGGGAACAGAGGTTCAGTCATGCCAGATGAAAACGTTCTAGAGATCTGCTGTACAATAATATGCACATAGTTAACAATACTCTATTATACCCTTAAAAATGAAAGAGGATTTCACATTATGTAATTTTTACCATAATTTTTTAAAAGAATGCACTAATGTAGCTAAGAACATTTTTGTTAAAAAAAATAAGGGATATGTTGCTATATTAACAGTTAAAAATTTTATAGTTTCTCTAATTAAGGCCATGTGGTGTTAATGCTAGAGTACAGAAAGGTCAAAGGGGAAAAAAAGACTAAATCCTAAAAGCGCAAATATGTATATGTGTTATCCACAATCAGTGAGAAAAAAATGGATTATCTAATAAATGGAGATGAGATGATGGGCTCGCCATTGAGAAAAAAATAGAGTCCACCCTTATATCATGTACTGAAATAAATATAAGACAGGTGAGAGATATACAGATTTAGTTTATGACAGGTAAAAATTTTAGACTGGGCAGAATATTAAAAATAGAGAGTTTTTCTAACTCACACTAACCCTCTCTAAGTCTTCAATGATATTACACTAAAGTCATATAGATTCAGTTTGCCACTATTTTATTGAGGATTTTTGTATCAATGTTCATCAAGGATATTGGTCTAAAATTCTCTTTTTTGGTTGTGTCTCTGCCAGGCTTTGGTATCAGGATGATGCTGGCCTCATAAAATGAGTTAGGGAGGATTCCCTCTTTTTCTATTGATTGGAATAGTTTCAGAAGGAATGGTACCAGTTCCTCCTTGTACCTCTGGTAGAATTCGGCTGTGAATCCATCTGGTCCTGGACTCTTTTTCGTTGGTAAGCTATTGATTATTGCCACAATTTCAGCTCCTGTTATTGGTCTATTCAGAGATTCAACTTCTTCCTGGTTTAGTCTTGGGAGAGTGTATGTGTCGAGGAATTTATCCATTTCTTCTAGATTTTCTAGTTTATTTGCGTAGAGGTGTTTGTAGTATTCTCTGAGGGTAGTTTGTATTTCTGTGGGATCTGTGGTGATATCGAATCCAGCAGCACATCAAAAAGCTTATCCACCATGATCAAGTGGGCTTCATCCCTGGGATGCAAGGCTGGTTCAATATACGCAAATCAATAAACGTAATCCAGCATATAAACAGAACCAAAGAAAAAAACCACATGATTATCTCAATAGATGCAGAAAAGGCCTTTGACAAAATTCAACAACCCTTCATGCTAACAACTCTCAATAAATTAGGTATTGATGGGATGTATCTCAAAATAATAAGAGCTATCTATAACAAACCCACAGCCAATATCATACTGAATGGGCAAAAACTGGAAGCATTCTCTTTGAAAACTGGCACAAGACAGGGATGCCCTCTCTCACCACTCCTGTTCAACATAGTGTTGGAAGTTGTGGCCAGGGCAATTAGGCAGAAGAAGGAAATAAAGGGTATTCAATCAGGAAAAGAGGAAGTCAAATTGTCCCTGTTTGCAGATGACATGATTGTATATCTAGAAAACCCCACTGTCTCAGCCCAAAATCTCCTTAAGCTGATAAGCAACTTCAGCAAAGTCTCAGGATACAAAATCAATGTACAGAAATCACAAGCATTCTTATACACCAACAACAGACAGAGAGCCAAATCATGAGTGAACTCCCATTCACAACTGCTTCAAAGAGAATAAAATACCTAGGAATCCAACTTACAAGGGATGTGAAGGACCTCTTCAAGGAGAACTACAAAACACTGCTCAAAGAAATAAAAGAGGATACAAACAAATGGAAGAACATTCCATGCTCATGGGTAGGAAGAATCAATATCGTGAAAACGGCCATACTGCCCAAGGTAATTTACAGATTCAATGCCATCCCCATCAAGCTACCAATGACTTTCTTCACAGAATTGGAAAAAACTACTTTAAAGTACATATGGAACCAAAAAAGAGCCTGCATTGCCAAGTCAATCCTAAGCCAAAAGAACAAAGCTGGAGGCATCATGCTACCTGACTTCAAACTACACTACAAGGCTACAGTAACCAAAACAGCATGGTACTGGTACCAAAACAGAGATATAGATCAATGGAACAGAACAGGGCCCTCAGAAATGACGCATATCTACAACTATCTGATCTTTGACAAACCTGAGAAAAACAAGCAATGGGGAAAGGATTCCCTATTTAATAAATGGTGCTGGGAAAACTGGCTAGCCATATGTAGAAAGCTGAAACTGGATCCCTTCCTTACACCTTATACAAAAATCAATTCAAGATGGATTAAAGACTTAAACGTTAGACCTAAAACCATAAAAACCCTAGAAGAAAACCTAGGCATTACCATTCAGGACATAGGCAAGGGCAAGGACTTCATGTCTAAAACACAAAAAGCAATGGCAACAAAAGCCAAAATTGACAAATGGGATCTAATTAAACTAAAGAGCTTCTGCACAGCAAAAGAAACTACCATCAGAGTGAACAGGCAACCTACAAAATGGGAGAAAATTTTCACAACCTACTCATCTGACAAAGAGCTAATATCCAGAATCTACAATGAACTCAAACAAATTTACAAGAAAAAAACAAACAACCCCATCAAAAAGTGGGCGAAGGACATGAACAGACACTTCTCAAAAGAAGACATTTATGCAGCCAAAAAACACATGAAAAAATGCTCACCATCACTGGCCATCAGAGAAATGCAAATCAAAACCACAATGAGATACCATCTCACACCAGTTAGAATGGCAATCATTAAAAAGTCAGGAAACAACAGGTGCTGGAGAGGATGTGGAGAAATAGGAACACTTTTACACTGTTGGTGGGACTGTAAACTAGTTCAACCATTGTGGAAGTCAGTGTGGCCATTCCTCAGGGACCTAGAACTAGAAATACCATTTGACCCAGCCATCCCATAACTGGGTATATACCCAAAGGACTATAAATCATGCTGCTATAAAGACACATGCACATGTATGTTTATTGTGGCACTATTCACAATAGCAAAGACTTGGAACCAACCCAAATGTCCAACAATGATAGACTGGATGAAGAAAATGTGGCATAAATACACCATGGAATACTATGCAGCCATAAAAAATGATGAGTTCATGTCCTTTGTAGGGACATGGATGAAATTGGAAATCATCATTCTCAGTAAACTATCGCAAGGACAAAAAACCAAACACCACATATTCTCACTCATAGGTGGGAACTGAACAATGAGAACACATGGACACAGGAAGGGGAACATCACACTCTGGGGACTGTTGTGGGGTGGGGGGAGGGGGGAGGGATAGCATTGGGAGATATATCTAATGCTAGATGACGAGTTAGTGGGTGCAGCGCACCAGCATGGCACATGTATACATATGTAACTAACCTGCACATTGTGCACATGTACCCTGAAACTTAAAGTATAATAATAATAAATAAAATAAAATAAAAATTTAGAAAAAAAAATCAAGTCATATAGAATGTCCAAACACCAGATTCTAGAGGTATATAGAAATGCACATACCAATGGCAAATATGAGTATGCTGTTTTTCATTTGTATTAATACTGTTTTTTCTTATAGTTATAAATGCAAATGAAAACTGATTGTTCAGAAGAGTAGTATATTATTACAGGAACAGCAGAGGATTTTAGAGTCTTAAGATCTGACAGAAATCCAGCTTTGTAAACACAAATGGCAAAATGAATTGTGCTTCAACAGATGTTAAAAATCCACTAAGAATAACATTTTCAAAGAATATATATTGACATGGGAAAAGTACCATTCATCCAGCCAGTCAATAAATACTGTGTTGGGCCATGGACTATGTGCAAAAGATGTTTTAAATGAGCAAGGAAGCCATCATCTTTGCTGTCAAGAATCTTCAAGTTTAGTGAGAATGGCAAACAAGGATTACAGTTATAATATGATTGATAGAAAAGGTACAAAGAAAAATATCTAAGTACCTAGCAGGGGAACCTGCCTAGTCTATTAGAGTCAGAGGTTTTGTAGGAAAAATAACATTTTAAGCTCAGATCTGAAAAGATACATAGGAATTAGCCCAACTTAGTGATTATGGATTATGGGTGGACATATCAACAAATTGAAAGCTCAGTATTAATTATCAAGGGAGAAAAGGCCCAGGATCAATGGTGGGGAGGGGAGGGTGTGCGGGGAGGGAGGCAGTGCAGGGAGGGGAGGGTGTGCAGGCAGGGTAAGAGTTCGGGGACCCATACCCAGAACTGTATCTATATGAAAGGCCTAATTACGTCTGCACATAGTAAGATTGGAAGTGCACAAAAGAAAATATTATCAGTGCTTAACTCTTTTCTATATTTCTTAATCAATCATACATTACCATTTACTCTACTGATCAAAAGTGTTATTAAAATAATACTTTACCATTTTGCTTTTATTAAAATTTTAGACAAGACTGTTAAAACTTTGTGTATTCATTTGGAAAATAAGGCTAATAAGATTTAACTTCACAAAGTTGCTGATTAGGATCAAATATAATAACATGTGCAGGATGGTGGTTTTGTGACTGTGGTCACTGGACCTAACTCAGTATCAGAGTGAGCAGATATAGAATTGGGAAGTGGTTGTAAAAACTGATAGATCAGGAGGATAAAAATGTGGACCTGATGAAGTTGATGAGTTGGTTACTACAGTGTTGTCACTACCCACTTTAGTAATAATGACAGTCAATGCTAATTAATCCTCTCTCCCGCTCCTTAGACCCAATCTCAGAATCCTTAGCAACTTAGTGCTCCAGACAGCCACTTACAACTAATTTAGAATGGCATGTTACTTGAAATCTTTTACTATCACTAGCCTTGGAATTTCAAGTATGAATACAATCAATTATACAATTTTTTAAAAAAGGTAGTTTGGCTATAAAAATGTCTTTTTTTTTTTTTTTTTTTTTTTTTTTTTGAGACAGAGTCTCGCTCTGTCGCCCAGGCTGGAGTGCAGTGGCGCAATCTCGGCTCACTGCAAGCTCCACCTCCTGGGTTCATGCCATTCTCCTGCCTCAGCCTCCTGAGTAGCTGGGACTACAGGCGCCCGCCACCACGCCTGGCTGATTTTTTGTGTGTGTGTTTTTTTAGTAGCGACAGGGTTTCACCTTGTCAGCCAGGATAGTCTCGATCTCCTGACCTTGTGATCCACCTGCCTCAGCCTCCCAGAGTGCTGGGATTACAGGCGTGAGCCACCGCGCCAGGCCAAAAATGTCTTTTTAAATTTATATTTTAACCTTTAAATGTTCTGTTTCTCTGAAAGTATATCTTCTAGCATGCCCAGAGGTTCTGATATATTAAATATTATTTTGTAAGCCACTGTTATTCATGTATTATGCCAGAAGCAAGAATTTAGAGACTATAGCATTTAAAAAAATATATTTATATATATTTACAAATAATAAAGTCAGATACAAATACATCTTTAGATTGAGTGTTGCTTTTTCACAAAATGAAAACAAGTGAATTTCTTACCTTTCCTCTGGAGTATCTACATGAAATGTTCTCTCTATAACAGTAGTCCACTGGAGACATCTGATTATAAATGTGTTTGGCTTTGGTCGTTCTGTTTTCATTAACTGGCATTCTAAGAATAAAATAAAATGTTTCTTTAAATATGGATATATTTAAAACAAGAAGTAAATAATTGAGAACTACAGAGTTCTATTTTAAACAAAACCCAGTGCGAACTCACAGCTTTCTATGGTTCTCCACTCAAGATTATTTACAGCCTGACCTTAGTCTTCCTTTCCAATCCTTCACCCATTCTGGCCACATTAACCACCTCAACTGGACTATATAATTTTCCCCAAACACACATCTTAACTCTTTCATTTATTTATGCCTTTGCTCCAGCTGTTCTTGCTATCTGAAATACTTTCCTCACTTATTTTACCTCTATCCATATGCATCACCTGCAGTCACAATAGTACTGATCCTTGAAGGTCCAGATCAAATATTATTCCTTCCATGAAACCTTCCATAACACCTCGCCCTAGACTGACCATTTCATCCTCTCTATTCTCTTTACTTATTACCATATCCCTCATGTGTCACTTACCATAGACTATCTTACAGTATTACTTATCATTTTAAGAAAATGACAAATATCACTTATCCTTACCTAGATTATAAGCTTTTTGACAATATAAACTGCCTGTAACTCTTAGTATCCACTGCCCCAAGAGCCAGTCACTCTAAACATGATTAAATTCTGTTACTGAATAACTAGGAAGATGTCAACAAACATGAGCCTAAAGTATGGATTCTCTGACACTGGTGTGCGTAGATTCAATTATTTTTTCGTACCATTAACTACACAAACTTGGACAAATTAATTAAACTCGCTAGTCTTCAACAGTTAAGTGGGAAACAGTATCTACATCATAGAATTGATGTAGGAATTAATAATAAGTTCATCTAATATTAGCATAATATGAGACCTATAAGCTTTCAACAAACATTAACTATTATTTGGCATACATCTGAGCTGGGCTTTAAAGGATAAATGGTATTGGACACCAAGAAAAAATAGGGTAGGGTTGTCTGCTGACTCTGCTCTTTTGGAAGAAACTAATTTATCTCCGTTGAAAACTTCAAGTCTTTTCTCAGTGCTTATCTGCTGTGTCCTATCTCCATCATTAGCAACTATCAACTGCCATTTCTATCTCTTTATAGTTCCAATTCTTTACTCAGATTAGCTGTGTTTTTGTTTGTTTGTTTGTTTGAGACAGTCTCGCTCTGTCACCCAGGCTGGAGTGCAGTGGCGCGATCTCGGCTCACCGTAACCTCTGCCTGCTGGGTTCAAGTGATTGTCATGCCTCAGCCACCCAAGTTGCTGTGATTACAGGCGTGCACCACCATGCCCAGCTTATTTTTCTAATTTTAGTAGAGATGGGGTTTCACCATGTTGGCCAAGCTGATCTCGAACTCCTGACCTCAAGTGATCCGCCCGCCTCGGCCTCCCAAAGTGCTGGGATTACGGGCTTGATCCACCGTATCCAGCCCCAGATTAGCTCTTTATTGGCCCTTTACACTGAGAGAAATCATTCACCCAAGGGTCTCTGCTTAGTTTTCTAACAGTTTACATGTTTTCAGCAATCATCTCTCAGTTTACCAATATCAAAATCCAAACTTTTTTCACCTTGCAGTTCTACTTTAAGACACACGTGTCTAAACACATAGTGAATATTTCTACCTGGTTGAATTACTGGACCACCCCTAAAACCAAACTCAGTATTTTCCCCCTAAAATTCATTCCTCCTCCTGGCTTTCATAATTTTCCATCACCCAGGCTGAAACATAAACTGATCTTCCTTTTTGATACTGGTACTATTTGTCATTACAGGTGCTCCTCGACTTATGACTGTGTTACATTCCAATACAACCATCGTAAGTCAGAAATATTATAAGGCAAAAATGCATTTAATACACCTAGACTACCCAACATCATAGATTAGCCTAACCTACTTGAAACATGCTCAGAACACTTCCATTAGCCTAGAGTTGGACAAAAATCATCCAACACAAAGCCTGTTTTGTAGTAAAGTATTGAATATTACACATAGATGGGTGTTTTGTCGACATGATGAGATGAGAAAACACAAAAACTAAGAGCATCCAGAAAAATGCTGGCAACACAGTACACTGTAGAGTATCTACTGTGCATGTTGTGATCACGTGGCTGACTGCAAGCTGTGATTTGCTGCTGCTGCCCAGCATCACTAGGGAGTATCACACAGCAAATCACTACCCCAGGAAAAGACAAAAATCCAAAATTTGAAATACAATCTCCATTGAGTGTGTACTGCTGTCAGGAGCACGGTAAAGTAAGACATCGTTACCATGAACTACTGTAAGTGGGAGACCATTCGTAACTGGTTTTCCACTGCTATAATTCTACTTCAGATTCTGTGTGCCCAATGCCTAAACCTCCCGGCTGCCCTAAGACAAGATTCTTCCTATTTAGAGATGCTGAGTGACTATGTAAGTTAAAGACAGAAACTGTGCTCTGGGAGACATCTGAACATGTCCGAACGTGAACTCTTGACCTCTCTCAACCCTGCTCCTTCTTCTGCCAACCTCTACTGTGGCTTCCTCTATCTCACATGACACCTCCATCCTTTCAATTGCCCAAGCTGAAAACCCAAGAATTCCCTTGGAGTCCTCTCTTCCCTGACATCACATTCACTCCTCCTGCAAATCTTGGTGTTTCTACTTTAAAAACATAACCAGCTTCTGATAACTTCTCACCACCTCCACTACCTCAGACTAAGCCATCATTGTCTCTCACCTGATGATTCCAAAAAACTTAGAATAGCTTTTCCCTGCCCCTCACTGCAGTCTGTTCTCAACACAGCAGCCAGAAATCTTCTTAAAATGAAGATCTGCAAAAAAGTTCTGCAGTGTTTCAGTTCACTAAGAATAGATGAGTAAGGCCTTTAAGTGATCAGCAGGTGTCCTACGTGATCTGACCCTCCCACTGACCCCACTGAAGTTTCTGACCTACTTCCTTAGTACTCTCTTTCAGGCTGCTCTGCCAGCCACCCTGGCTTCCCTGCATTTCCTCAACAATGCACTACACTCTTTCTGCTTTAGAGCTTTTTGCCCTCTGCCTAACATTCTTTCCCCCCTCACACACCCGCACAGCTGCTCTCTTAGACATCCTATTTAATACTGCAATCTGCACCCCTTACCTAGGACTCTCCCTCCATCTTCTCTTACCTGCTCTATTTTTTATTTTCCATAGCATGTTACCATTTTCTAACATTTGATATGAAGTTTTTTAGTATCTTTTTTGCTTATTGTCTTTTCAACTAGATTGTAAGCTCCATTCATATATTCTTAGCACTTAGAACTATGCCAGACACATAGTAGGTACTCAATAAACATTTTCCAAATGAATTCTGATAGTAATAATCCAACAAAGAAGGTAATTTTGATGCTACCAAAAGATAATTTCTAAAGCAATGTACCTATATAAGCAAGAAGGGATTAAATTTACTGGACAAGTAAAGGGGTAGCTCTAATCAGGAGTATAAATAGTTTAGTAATAAAATAAAAGAGAAGATATAAGGGCCCAAATGCAATTAGGAGTACAGAAGCAAGTAAAAGCTGGTAGAAATTATTTTCTCACTGCTTCTGTTTTTTTCAGTGAATTAGGATATAAAGTCATCGGGAATAACGTTGCAAAAGGATCCATCAGGCTTTGAAGAAAAAAAGATATGAAATAGCACTCTGGGAAAATCAAAGTACAAATAGGCTAAGGAGACCAACCATGACTGCCGAGAAGGATGAAGGACCAACCTGAATTTAATAATGAAGAATTTAAACTAATAACAGAGATCATGGTTGTGTATTTTCTCCCAGATATACCCAGATATATTCAGCTGCATGTGTACAGGTGAGGAACATAGAGTAATGAATTTAAGCAAGGCTGTACTTTAACCAAGTAAGTTTGTCAAAGCAAGAAGACAGAAAAGAATAAAGAATGCAAGGCAAGGGAGTGATTATGATACTCAACTAAGAAACTTAAAATGGGTATGGAGGAAAGTGAGAACCTGGGGATGTGCAAGACAATGAAAAGGTGGTAGAATCAATAGGTCATAAAATCTATTATATCACAATTCAACTTTGTATAGCAGCATGACATTTTTTGAAATATGAAAGTTAAAAAACACAAAATATATATTCCACAAAAAATAAGCAAAAATATTGTTCATTTGAAAGACTTAAGTTTTAAAATACCAAAGACATTATACTAATTTATACTAATAAAGAGCCAACCAATTCCTATGACTGACTCTGCCCATCAGTCTGATTCTCTTTGAAGCCAACTGTTCCTCCCCATATCCTTCTTTTCAAAAGCCCTATTAAATTTCCAGCCAGTAATTCACTAGCTATATTACTTAAAAGTTAGGAATTGTGTGCACAGTTCTTCTTATAGCACCTAGGACAGTGACAGGACATAGGAGTATACAATAAATACCCTGATTGGGCAACTGATTGGCTGGCTTTAAACGTAAAGAATGGAGGACAGACACTTAAATGAGGGGCGTGCCCAAGAGAAATACTATGGGGTACAGAGAAATACAGCACAGAAGCAAAGAAAGAATGCCCGGTCTGAGGTTCACTATTTCAGTTTTACTTCAGGTTCCCATTATGGTGATATAAGGTAATTAAGATAATGGACTCTGCAATCAGAAAGAAATTCAAATCCAGGCTCTAACACAATCAGCTGTGTGATCCTTTTGAAAGTACTTTATATCTAAGCCCTCAGGTTTATCATCTTTAAAAGCACTATCATGAATTAAAAGCATATTTTCAACACTATACCTAAATGAAGTTTAAATGCTATAATTTAAAGAACTTCTCAACACTAGACTTTTAGAAGCTACTCGAAGTGCTGTTATAAGATTCCAAATATCAATTACTATAATTTATAAGGCTGCTAAAAACAATAAAAGATATTACTATAATTACCATTCTCAAGCAGATCACTGAAAAGGAATGGCTTAGAAAAGAATAAAATACCTGTATTTATGTATAGAGTGGTTTGGAAAAATATTAAAATAGTAACATAATGACTAAGTAGTTATGCACAACTTCACTGTTCTTACTAAACTTGCTAAGTATTCATGAACCAAATGACATATATGAAATGTCAGTTATGGGCCAAGCACTATGCAAAATGCTGGGCACACAAAAATGAGTAGGAAACTCTATGAGCTCATGGTACACACCATACTACTGATCATTCTACCCATGTAATTATAAAGTAGTATTTCATTTATGCTATAAAGGGTTTAATCAGGTCCTGTGAACCCTCTAGTCCAACAAAAATAATGTTACGTGTAATTACAAATAAACAGTATAATAGAAATAAACCTATATTTTTTAGGTCTCAGTATGAAATACTCTACAAACACATTTCATCTCTACACCAAGATGTTCAAGTGGTAGTTGGATCACTACCAAGAGAATATCACAATGTCTTATGGTTTGTTGCTGTACAAAACAAATGTAATTTAAAAAGCTGAATCCAAATTCAAAAAAGTTAAAACTCTAAATTACCATGTTAAAACCAGTGATCGAGTAAATAGAAAAACTTTTGAGTTCTTGCATGTTCGCAATAAGGAATCAGAAACACATGATTCTTAAAGGAAATGGTGGTTAATAAATGGATTAGCCAATACTTCTTTAGAAGAATATTTGCCTTTTGGTTACGTAAAGATTCCCAACGCAAGGTAGGGCAATTTAAATTTTAAAAATCAGAAGTAGAAACTTTGGATAGAGATTCTAAAAAGCTATTAACCAAATGATTATCTACGATTTTTAGAATCATTTAATATGCATCAGTAAAGTAAATGTGCTTATACAAAATGCCAGGTAGCTAACTCTTATTATAACATCTACTTCTCAGTGTTATTTGTTACACTGTTACTTATATTAGATAGTTATACACTAGTTAAACTCTACTGAGCAACATGAACCACAAGCTGAATTTTAAATGTTCTGCTTACTTTACACCATTCTGAGCCACAGATGACAAAGTCTGTACAAAGCTGTAATTACTCTGCAAACCTGAAACCCAATTAGAGAGACTGCAACATGTCAGACCAAGAAATACATACACCAAAAAAAAAATTTTTAGAGATCATCTGTTTAGATTAAAATGTTTAAAGGTTTAATTTCAACCAACCTCTTTAGCCATTTAAACACTAATTTTATTCTTTCTAAAATAACATCCAATGTGAAAAACGAAGGCATAATAATAGATTCCTTTTTTTTTTTTTTTTTTGAGACGGAGTCTCGCTCTGTTGCCCAGGCTGGAGTGCAGTGGCGCAATCTCGGCTCATGCAAGCTCCACCTCCCGGGTTCATGCCATTCTCCTGCCTCAGCCTCCTGAGTAGCTGGGACTACAGGTGGCCACCACCACATCCAGCTAATTTTTTTGTATTTTTAGTAGAGACGGGGTTTCACTGTGTTAGCCAGGATGGTCTCTCGATTTCCTGACCTCATGATCCGCCCACCTCGGCCTCCCAAAGCGCTGGGATTACAGGCGTGAGCCACTGCATCCGGCCAGATTCCATTTTTTATTAAATCACATAATGAAATAATGCTGGCTGTGAGTTATGATGACCATAAACCAAATTTATTTTTCAGGTCTTAAAAATATGATACACCATGGAGGTTCTCTGAAGGGGACAAAAAGCATTTCTATCTTTTGTTTAATGTTTTCACTAGGGGCAAAAAAGCATAACACCTATTTAAGACTCAATACATCAACCTTTAAGAGATTCATTTAATCCAATGAGCGGAAGGTGACTTAGGTGAGGCAGGTGTCCTGGTAGAGAGCATTCCAGCAGCAGATAACTGTTGAGTGATCACTACGTTCCAAGCACTGCACAAAGAGTGGTGCATAAATGTTATTCATTTAATCCAAAGGAAAAACCTAAAAGGTGTTATTATCTTCCATTTTCTAAATGAGCAAATTTACAAGACTCAGGCAAGCTAAATAACTTGCCCCAAAACACACAACTGTGAGTCATTATATAAGGATTTATTCCAAGTCTATCTCAATCCCAATCCCATGCTCTTCTGAAGAGAATACACTGCTAGGAAAAATGCCTTAAAAATCAGTAATCATCTGTCAAAGCCATAGGAATGTCTGTTCCCTCTTCTATACCTTCTCTACACCTTCCCCGTGCTTGGCCCTTCTCCCATCTATGACACTTTTTCTCATATAAGCAAATCCAGGATAAGTTTCAACTGATAACAGTGTTTGAGCGGGAGAGGGCTCCAATGTGTTTGCCTCTGGTTCTCTCCACAGTATAGGGATGGACAGGAATGAGGGTTATCCCCTAGCAGGATGCTGATCCTTGACATCTCGTTTCTCCAGGTAGGAGTAACGGGAGGCGGTTTAGAATGAGAAGCTGAAGGGAAAGAAAGTGGTAAGGATAGCAGAAAGGAAGGCAAGAGAGCCTTTGGGTTCTTTCACTGCTGGCTCTCACATTCTCCAATACCAATGAAGTTAATGATTAAAAAAAGTTCAATTACTAATAATGGAAAAGTGATCTGCAGACTCACATCAATCCAGCTCCGCATTGCTAGTTATTTTTGTCTGAACCATTTGCGTTTTATCACCCAAACTCAACATATCTCTCTCCACATAAGCAAATAGGAGAGAAGACAAAGTTCTTACATTTGATTCCATAATACAAGGGGTTCAATAAATAATGGGAGTCAGACTGGATTACTAACATTACATTTCCCTCTAGAAGATGTTTTTCACTTCATCATCCACATTCCAAATTGTGACATTTTAATTATCATAAACCACCACTTTGGAATTAACATGAAATACTATTTATGAACTTGAGTTGAATTTGAAGTCACGATATGTTAATGTGAACTTCTCCTAACACATTTTTCTTCTTTGAATATGGTCACTACAGATACTACCATTTACCAAAAGCACACTTACAGAGCCAATATTTTCCCCATCAACATTTCTCTGTCTTGTTTGCCCACCGAATCCTGCCTCTAATTAAACAAACATACACCTCAAGAGTCTTCTGGAACAACTGTTCTTGGCATACTTTCTGCCTACTTGAAATTCCAAATAAACGTACTGTGGTCATTTTGAGACAATAGTTAAAATATAAAAATGACATAAGGCATTTACTAAAAGAATTATAAGAGGCATGCAAACATCTAGTGGACTCAAGGAATTAGGCATGTTGGTTTTTTGGCTTTGATTTTGGTTTTTGCAGTATAATAGCCATGGGCTTTTTAAAAATGTAGTAAAATATACATAACATGAAATGTACCATTTTAACCATTTTAAGTATACAGTTTGGTGACATTACTGAATTCAAATTGTTGTGTGGGCAAGATGGTTTTCAAACATATTTCTTGATTTACTTTCACTGTATAAATCATCCATGCTTAATACAGAAAAATACATACATAAGTATAGGCAAAATAAAAATACTCATAATCCTACCATTCAGTTATAACCATTATTAGTGTTTGAATACATACATTTTTAGACCTATTCTAAGCACTTTTTAGAAACAAAAATGAGACCATTATTGATGATATTATATGTTTTGGATATTTTCCATTTCAGTAAATAAAGATCTACATCATTATATTTAATAGTGGCATAAAACTCCATTGTACTCATACACCAGAATAAGCAGTTTATTTATAGTCATAATGCATGAAACAGAAGTAAATTACTCAGATGTACACAGGATATTTAACCATTCATTACATAACATGGTAAAATCTGAAAAATAATTATGAGATTTTTTTTTTTTTTTTTTTTTTAGACAGAGTCTTGCTCTTTCACCAGGCTGGAGTGCAGTGGCGCGATCTCGGCTCACTGCAACCTCCGCCTCCCGGGTTTCAAGCAATTCTCCTGCCTCAGCCTCCGGAGTAGCGAGGACTACAGGCGTGCGCCACTAGGCCCAGCTAAGTTTTGTATTTTTAGTAGGGATGGGGTTTCATCATGTTGGTCAGGATGGTCTCGGTCTCTTGACCTCGTGATCCACCCACCTCAGCCTACCAAAGTGCTGGGATTACAGGCGTGAGCCACTGTGCCCGGTCTATTTTTAAGAAAAGCTATTTATATTTGAAACATGATGAAACTGGGATTTGATAACAAAATTTTTAAACAATTCAACAAGAATGTACATTAGATTGAAAATTCCCTTAGGGGAAGGTCCATACTATTTGATTTCTGGTACTATGCCTAAACAGGGCTGGTCTCAAATAAATAAACAGAATGACTAACATACTGCCCCAATTTATCTGTGCCTTGGCTAATTGAAATCATGTTAAAAAATACCTAAAAGATAATCTACCCCTAATAAAATAATTAATTCAGGCAAAAATCACCAATGGTAAAATCATTTGGTAAATAACTAATTAAGACTAAATATTGCATAGTGCCAACATGTCAAACCACAGATTATCTGGTAACCACATGAGAGAAACTTAGTTTATAATGAAGAGATGACACTGTCACCACCGTAACCCAGTGAACAATGATAGCATTACTAAGAGCTGGTCAACCAAATACTAGGTACCTCTTGACATAACGCAATATGAAGTACACAGACTCACGAAGGAAACAATCTTGATAAAAATTCTGAATATGAATCTGATGGAATCCTTAGATCTAACTTCCTTTTACAGTAAATACAGAGGTAGAGGAAAAGTTAAATGACACCTCGTAGAAACGATCAGAGAATTCCATAAGACAGAACTTTCACAGGACAAATGAAGTAGTCTCTTTAATAAGTGAATGTACCCAAAAGAGGGGTGAGGAAGGTAGTCTAATACTCTGCTGGACTAGTAGGGACTTAAAAGATTTATAAAAACCAAATGCAATGCGTGGTCCTCCTTAATGCATTCTGGTCTAAACAAACCAGTTTTAGGCAACAAGTGGGAAATCTGAATATGAATTTGTACTTGGTAATACTAAAGATTAGTTTTATTAGATGTGATTGTGATACAGCTTTTAAAAAAATTTTCAATTCATGAAGTAGATGTGCAGGTTTGTTACATGGGTGTATTGTATAAAGCTGAGATATGGGCTTCTAGTGAACTCATCACCCAAATAATGAACATAGTACTCAATAGGTAGTTTTCTGGTCCTTGTCCCACCCTTCTCCTTTTTGGAGTCCGCAGTGTCTATTATTTCCATCTTTATGTCCATATGTACCAATTGCATAGGTCCCACTTAGAAGTAACTTACAACTTAAATGCCTCGAGATTTCCATCTGTACCAATGAGACAATTTCTACTCACGTATCTTCAAAGTAGCTTATCAGTGCATACATACCACAGTGAAATAAACAATAAACATATACAAAGACCAAGATGCAGATTCAAAGTCACTTTTTTTTTGAGATGGAGCCTTGCTTTGTCATCCATGATGGAGTGCAGTGGCACAATCTCGGCTCACTGCAACCTCTGCCTCCTGGGCTCACGCCATTCTCCTGCCTCAGCCTCCTGAGTAACTGGGATTACAGGCGCATACTACCACGCCCAGCTAATTTTTTGTATTTTTAGTAGAGACGGGGTTTCACCATGTTAGCCAGGCTGGTCTCAAACTCCTGACCTCAGGTGATCAGCCCGCCTCCACTTCCCAAAGTGCTAGGATTACAGGCGTGAGCCACTACATCCAGCCTCAAAGTCACTCTTTAAAGCACTTGTATTAAATGCTGCTCCTCTTCCCGCTAACTGCCCCATTCCTCTCCTTCGTTTTGCTGGTAAATCACTCAAAATAATCTACAAGGCTGGCCTTTGTTACCCATGCCTTAACCAATTAGCTAAATTCTGGTTTCCACCACTCTACTGCAGTCTCCTTTTTATCAGATATATTTTCCTTGTTCTCATTTTCATTTCTTTGCAGCATTTGATGTTCTTGGCTCCCTATCCTTTGAGTCCCTTTTCCTTGACCTCCATGACACTGACTTGCCTGGTTTTACTACCATCCCATACCATTCATTAGTTTTTCTTAGGGCCTCTACTTCCAAAGTAGAGGCTCAGACCTTTACCTTCCAAAGGCTCAGACCTTTCTGTTATGCTTTTATTTTTGACATTTTTTCCCATAGTAAATCTAGACATTAATTACACAATATTTGTTAGGTACCCACAGTATATCAGCCAGTAACCTAGGCACTGAATAGCAGTGAACAAAACAAGGTGCCTATTTTCCATAAAGCTTATATTTTACTGAGGGGATGAGTAGTCAAACAATAAACAAGCAAAACAATTAATTTATAACATAGTAGGTGCTTATAAACAATATGAAGAAAAATAAGGCAGGTCAACGAGTTGAAGTGAACGGGAGGTGATACTATTTTCGAAAGATTAATTTAAAAGGGTGTCTCTAATGAAATGAGAGGCCAATGCAGATTACCTTCGGGAAGAGTAAGTTACACAGAATGAACATTAAGTGCAGACTCACAGCTGGAGGGATTCCACAGATGGATTTGTGAAACAGCAAGAAGCCCAGTGTAATTGGAGTCAAGTAAGTTAGGAAAAAAGGTAGGAGATGAGGTTAGAAAGATCTTCAATGAGTTGGTAAGGACTTTGGATTTAATTATAGATAGGCTCCCCAGTAGCTCTGCATCGACTGACACCTGATGTCTGATGACTCTCAAACCTGCTTCTTCAGTCACGGCCCTTCTCATCAAGCTCCATCCCCATATGGCAAAACTAGCATCTCCTTTGATGCCCTATACTGCCTCATCCTCAAGATATCCAAAAGGGTTTTGTTTTTGTTTGTTTCAGCTTCCAAGTTGAAAATTACTATACCAGTACAGTTTTTCTATTTTATTTCCATATCATCTTCCTAATCACCCAAGAAACACTTCCTCAGTCATCTCTGGCTCGTCCTTCTCTTTCAGCCCTCATGGCTAAGCCACCAACATTCATGTTAACAGTTTGTTCGTTATGACTCTTGGAATCATCCTTTTTTTGTCCACTGCTGACACCCAACCCGGGAACTTACTATCAAAATCCTCATCACTGAAATGACCTCTTAGGTGGTCTCCCTTTTCTACCCTTCTCCCTAAGTTGTCCTACATACTACTAGTAAGATGAGTCCTACCCAAATTCTTAAACTGTATGTCATTCTCTTCAAAAATATTTTCCTGTCTGCAGGACAATGTTCAAATACATTTCTTAGCCTGACTTTCAAAGCTATTCATAAGGAAGCCCCATTAATTAAAACAAAAAGTTTCAAACTGTATTCCTCACTGCCAAACTATAAGTACTTTCTGCTAATAAACATGTCTCTTCACTGTCCCCTAAAAATTATCTGATTATTATTAACTTCAGGATTTAACAACTCATGCTGTTTCTCTCACCTGACACATACTCCCTTCCTTTTTACTTAGATTCTAGTCACTCAAGATCTTCTCTTATTCCAACTCATACTCTCTATCCCTGAAGATCTACTACACTTATTTGTATCCCATATGGTGGTACTTCATCATATGCTGTGATTTATTTGACTGTTTTGAGTGGAACTCCTTAAGTTTCAGGGAATTTGGAATACTTCTCATAGTTCTTTTCTATTCATCAAAATCTAAGCACATACAGACTGAATTCTAGGAAAAGCTTCAGGAAACATTTCAGAAACAATATAATTTCTCACAACTTATTTTTTTCTCATAAAATGTATATTTATATATTTCATATATATGAAAAAATATATTTTTCAAAAAACATACTTTTCAAAAAATAGATATTTTTGAATCCTAATCATATTTTTGATTTTGGAGCAACAGCTCTAATACTTGAGATATTTTTTTTTCCACAGGAAAAGGTGAAAGGAGTAGATGTAAAGAATAAAGGATTTTTCCCCCTTGGAGAAAAATAAAAAGGTAGGTCTACTTATCCAGAGTAAAGCACTGTCCAAATAAACAATGAATTGTGGAGGATTATAAACAAATCAAGTAATTCCATTAAAATCAACTATAGAGGGTAGGTGCGGTGGCTCATGCCTGTAATCCCAGCACTTTGGGAGACTGAGGCGGGTGGATTACCTGAGGTCAGGAGTTCGAGACCAGCCTGGACAACATGGAGAAACCCCATCTCTACTAAAAATACAAAAAATTAGCTGGGCGTGGTGGCGGGTGCCTGTAATCCCATCTGCTTGGGAGGCTGAGGCAGGAGAATTGCTTGAATCTGGGAGGCGGAGGTTGCAGTGAGCCGAGATCGCGCCATTCCACTCCAGCCTGGGCAACAGAGCAAGACTCTTGTCTCAAACAAACAAAAAAAGTCAAATATAGAGATAGCCTATCAGTCATTATCAGAATACCACCTCTTTGGAAAGCACTCTCTAACTTCTTTAAACTTTAAGGGGAAGGTATAGATGTGTTTTCTTTGCCTTCAGGAATTCTAACTCCAAATAAGTTAGCCTGGCTTTGAAAGATGGTTCCAACCACAGACATAAAAAGGCCTCTTGGGTATTTACTACAGCAACAACAACAACAACAAAAACAATAAAAACACTTCATTTTAAAATCTGGTTTGATAGATAGCAAGCTATATGAAGTAAAGTAAAAGAATCAGCTCCTTCACTGATCTCTAGAAGAATGGGGGGAAAATCTCATCTTAAATCTCTGCCAATTTAAATCAGTAGGAAAATTTTGCTTTCTATTATATCTTTCTCCAAAATTTATTTTTTAAATAGTAACTACTAAGTAATTATCTTAGCATATTATCAGTTGATTCACTACATTAAGATTTCACATACATTATTCCTCACTTAATCCTCTCAGCTGAGTTCTAAAGTATGGTCATTTCCAGTTCACAAATTTTTTAAAAAGGAAGCTATTTAATGTCTAAATCACTTATTCAAAATCATCAAGCCATTAATGTGGTAAAACTGAGTCTCAAATCCAGGTTTTCTAGCTCTAAATTCATGTCTCTTTTTGTATCACATACTGTTTTTAGGATGGATGTTGGTTGTTTATGAAAGGAAGTAAAGTTTTCTTTCTTTCTAATAACGTTTATACACAGTCAACTCTTGGAAAATACAGGTCTGAACGGCACAATTCCACTTATACATGGATTTTTTTCAATAATAGTACACCAAATGTGCCTATCTCTCCTGCCTTCTCCTTCCACCCGCTCCACATCTCTTCATCTCTGCCACCCGAGACAGAAAGACTAACGCCTTCTCTTTCTCCTCCTCCTCAGCCTACTCAACAAGAAGACAATGAGGATGAAGACCTTTATGATCCACTTCCACTTAATGAATAGCAAATATATTTTCTCTTCCTTATGATTTTCTTAATAACATTTTCTCTTGCTTACATTATAAGAATACAGTATATAGTGCATGTAATACACAAAATATGTATCAATTAACTGTTTATTGGTAAAGCTTCTGGGCAACAGTAGGATATTGGTAGCTAAGTTTGGGGGAGTCAAAAGTTAGAACAAGGATGTTTGACTACACAAGGGTTGAAGCCCCTAAACTTTGCATTGCTCAAGGGTCAACTGTATTTCACTTTCTAGTTTTATGTGAATAAATTGATACAAACAGGTGATAGAGAACTGAAATATGTTTTCTCCCAGAGAAAACTGACCAATCTTTTATTTAGTATTCATGCATTAAAAATAACTGCCATCTTCATTGACATTATATGTAAAAGCACCAACAAGCTCTGATCACATAAGACAAAGTTCTGTAAGTGACAGATAAGTTGTCAAGTAATATTACACTGCTTCAGGACTTCTTTATAGAAGTTATATTTAAATAATGTCTTTCTGTCAGTATCAGATTATTGGAACAAGGCTGAGAACACATTTAAAGTGTTCATTGGCCAAAATGTTAAAAACCTAACATGAATTAACATGTAACTAAAGTTGCCTGGAGTCTAATATCAGAATTTATTCAGGCTTGTCAGTCTAAGCCAACTTTGCTGATTCCTTAGTCATAATAAAATAATCTGTCTATAAAAATAAAGACCCATCAATAGGTAAAGAAGAGAGATGGAACTTCCTAGAGGCATAGAAATATCAAACAATTTATGAGGCAAACAGTAAATCTGTAAATAATACTGTTTAACAAAAATATTTTAACAAAATGTTACACAGGACTAACGTGAAGTTCAAAGGAAACAATGCATATGAAATAGTGCTGTAAAGATTATTACATGTTTATTTTTAATTATCTTATAAGAACACCCTATAGAGACAGAAACTTTATCAGTGTGCTTTTGGAAGCAATAACTGTTGCTGGTTGGATGATTCAGTTATCATGAACTATTCTGGCAGGTTTCAAAAGCAGTGCCATTTTAAAACATTAAAAATGTCTAAAAATGCAACCATAGTAATAGATTCTGAGTGCATGGGTTGGGGGGTGAGGGAGAAAGACAATGACAAATTGGTCCAAAAGGACACTGAGACTTCATAGTTGGAAGACTATTGTGCTGACAATTAGTAACAGAGGAAGCAGAGCACAAAACAAATGAATGAAAAAAGCTGAACTTGCAATGAAAGACCTTATTATAGTTCAGAAACATTATTGTAATAAAGGGGCAATGTACTCTCCTCTATAAAACTTCCAAACAGGCACCCTAGTCTCTTTTCTCTTCCCCTGCATTTCATTTTTTCATTAGCATCTGCTTGATTATGTATTATTTCCAACCCAAAAGAACGCCTCTGTATCTTTCCTAAATTCCAAGGCTTAAAGGTTCTTCCTCCCAATGTGGCCTTAGGCCTCATTTAACTTTACTCAAAGTATAATAAACGCTTTTAAATTAAAATAAAGATATAGGGGTGAAAAAATCAGAAAGCCAATAATTTAGCATGTATCAACTCAGAGGAAGCAACAAAACATGTCCCTCAAGTTCAACTTGTTAAAAATGCAATGATTATATAACTTACTGCAAATATTCAGATGATTCTGCCTCTAAAAAAAATCAGTGTCTCCCCTATGGCTTCTATGACTTAGTTGGAAAAGCAATGCTGAAATCTTCACATACTAGTGAATCATCTACATTAAGCTGCTGTTTCCCTAAATGGAATTATCCAAAAGTTCTCAAATACATCTTCATGTATTAGTCAAGAATGACAAGATCTGATCCATGATACAGACAGACAGACTAGTCTAGAGGCATGGAAAACCCATATCTTCTGAATTGCCCACACTGGAAAACCTCTCACCTCAAGGCCCTACTGTAAGGTAGTCAGAGATCCATTAGTTAAGTAGGAATATGGAAAAAGCACTGGTCTGGAAACTTGAAAGCTGCAGGTTTATCTCCCAGCTCCATCTCTGAAAGAATTCCTTGCCACTGGGAAATTCCATGAACCTAGTTTCTCCAGCTATAAAATAGACTGTTTGTCCTCCAAAGATGTTAGTAACATTAAATATATCTTACTAACACACACATATATGTGTATGTATGTACATATATATATGTATGTAAAATACGAGGCAGAAGGTACTCAACAAGTGGTAATTTATTACTATACTACTCCACAATATACTCAATATTTCAAGAAATAATTATCTGCTGCTGATAGGCAAACCACTGAATTTAGAATTAGAAGAAAGGACTTTAGAGATCCTTCACTCTAACTCCCTCACTCTACAGATGACAAAATTCTGAGTCCCAGTATGGTTAAGCGACTGGCTCAACATTACATAATAAAACTCTATCAAATTTATCAGCCACCCATCTACGACATCTATATTTGTTCCTTTGCTCTAGCAGAAAGAAGTCTCGCTATTATATATAATACAACTCCTGACAACAATGAGAGTCCACTATTAACCCACTGGGTGATACGTGGCATAGCACGAAAGTTCTATGGGTGCTGACGACGTATTACTTGAAGAGAGCTGTCATCTCTGAACACCATATATGATTAAATGCATTCAAACCAGGTGTTAGAGTTCAAATCACAGTTCTGCCACGTACTTGCTTTGAGGTTCTGGGCAAGTTTTTCAGTCTCTCTAGGTCTCAGATTCATTATCTAGTTTTTTTTCCTTTAAGTAATAATATTTATTTCATGTTTTTCATGTGATGACAAAATGCAATTACACAAATAAAACACCTTGTAAAAAGCAGGCTCTTTAAAAATGTTAATTTTCTTCCTTTACTTCCTTAATTGCCCTCCTAATTTCCGATGTATTAATTATAAAATGAGATTAAAACACCAAATATAATGGGCAAACAATCATCTTTCTAATTACAATTTCAAAAACTAGTTACGCACAATCCTCTTTCTAGAAACTATAAATTTAAGTTTAAAATGACACACTAAAAAAAAAATTCAACAAGTAAATCAAATAGTTATCTACATTCAACTTAACCAAAATAATCTATACGTTTAATAAGGTCATAAAAAAATTATACAGTAAATACACTACAGTTGCCTTATCACACGCAGGCTGCAGGTGGTGATCCTCCTACCCCACCCTCCACTTCCCATCCACAATACTCCAACTTCCCTACATACAAGAAGGCAAATTTTTAAAAAATAAATATATAAAGAGATAATGTACCACCTTCCAAGCTACAGTTTATAACCTTTTTAGCTTAAATTTTAAAAACTCTGTAGGTAGGATTTTAAAATGGAGTATTTATTTGTCAGTAAAATTATTTTATATTCTACCAGGAGAAAAGATGAACAGCAATGTTACTACAGAAACTACAAATAAAACACGAGGTAAGCTAACAAACAGGGTAGCTAGTGCCTAACTGTGGCCCTGAGAAAACAATGTCTGACATGATTAGGGCATTCTGCTAAGTATTTCAAACGCCATATTTATTCCTATCATTTATTCTTTTTCCTCATTTGATATTTTTCACTCTATACAGGGATAAGGACATAACATACCATCTGGAGCTTTCATTCATTTCTGAAGATTTCATACCCACTTACTTTGACAAGATGAAAAGAAATTCAGCCAAAGTTTCTCAGAAATAATTTTTCAAATTAATGCTATTCTTGTTACCTGGAAAGTAACTTTATCTTTTGAAATCTTACTATTTCTCCAAACAATCTCAATGTCCAAAGAAGCTTTTCTTGATGATTCTGTCTTTAATGATACCTCTTTTTCCTAAATTGTAACTGCATGTATTAATTGCAAAACTCCCTTCAAAACTTAGCCATAAAACATCTCAAAATACCAATCCCAAGGGTCTGTGGCATATTTTTGCTACTAGACTATAAATTCTTTAAAGCCAAGGGCTAGATCTTGTATCTGTGGAATAAGAAAATGAACACAAAACTCTAGGTTCACTCTGTTAGACATGGGTTCATGCTGTGGGCTCTGCCATTTGCCAAACAGTGGCCTAAGCAAGTCATATAACCACTCTGAGTTCCTTTAAAATGGGGAGCATAATACTTACCTCACAGTGTTGTTGTGAAGATAAAATGAGAAAACATATGTGAAAGGGCTTGATACATAGTAACGCTCAAAGAAAGGTTGGTTTCCTTATTTCCTTCTTTTTTCCCCTCAGTACCTGGTACAATGTTGAGAACATAATAACCCTCAATAAAAACTTCCTAAATATTCATTACAATTTAGACTTCCTAAAAAATATATTTAAATATTAATTTTGATGACTCCTATGTTTCCAAATTGTGTTACTTTAAGTCAAACACATACACACAAGGTAGAAAACTTCAAAACACAGTAGGTGCAAATGGTTGTTATTTGAGATGGCTAGAAAAGAAAATCAAGGAAGGAGTCCTAAGTATTTAAAAATAATTGAGTGATACTAATTATATGTAGGGTATTCCCTTACTTAAGCACCTATCAACAAGTAATAGTTGATTGCTGACCTTCGAAAAAGTTGAGTGAGACAGAAAGGGGGGAAGGCAGATACAGAGGAAAGGAAAGAGGGAAAAAGAAAGGAATAAAGGAAGGTGGTCATGCTGGAATCTCTTCTATGTCCTCAGTATAAACTATTGAAGCTGATAACTACTTGCCTGCCTTCCTTTAAAAACAATCCCCATTGCATCCTCCACCTCTCAATAAAGCAGTAATCTAGGAAGCAAAGTACCTTTAATTTTTCCTCCAATGGATAGGATCCTCTTCAACCAGTCAGAAAAATACTGAAGGATTTTATTACTTTAAGAAAAAACAACTTCTGACTAAAAAGGGAATAACAACAGTCACACAGGTCTTTCTCAGCCTGCAGCAGCTTTGTCTTCCAAAGCCCAGGGTTTGAAGAATTTGGTCTATACCCCGTTCCCCTTGCCCTCACCCAAACTCTTGTCTCTGATCCAATGGTGTTAGATCTTATTTATTTTTTTTTTAGCAATCAATATATGTTAATTGAATACTTTTTTTTGTATAAATGTTTTTTACTTTTTTTTATTATACTTTTAAGTTCTGGGGTACATGTGCAGAACGTGCAGGTTTGTTACATAGGTATACACGTGCCATGGTGGTTTGCTGCACCCATCAACCTGTCATCTACATTAGGTATTTCTCCTAATGCTATCCCTCCCCTAGCCCCCAATCTCTCAACATGCCCCGGTGTGTGATGTTCCCCTCCCTGTGTCCCTGTGTTCTCACTGTTCAACTCCCACTTATGAATGAGAACATGCGGTGTTTGGTTATCTGTTCCTGTGAGAGTTTGCTCAGAATGATGGTTTCCAGATTCATCCATGTCCCTGCAAAGGACATGAACTCATCCTTTCTTATGGCTGCATAGTATTCCATGGTATGTATGTGCCACATTTTCTTCATCCAGTCTATCACTGATGGTCATTTGGGTTGGTTCCAAGTCTTTGCTATTGTGAATAGGGCTGCAATAAACATACGTGTGCATGTGTCTTTATAGCAAAATGATTTATAATCCTTTGGGTGTATACCCAGTAATGGAATTGCTGGGTCAAATGGTATTTCTAGTTCTAGATCCTTGAGGAATCGCCACACTGTCTTCCACAACGGTTGAACTAATTTACACTCCCACCAATAGTGTAAAAGCATTCCTATTTCTCCACATCCTCTTCAGCATCTGTTGTTTCCTGACTTTTTAATGATCACCATTCTAACTGGCGTGGGATGGTATCTCATTGTGTTTTGATTTGCATTTCTCTAATGACCAGTGATGATGAGCTTTTTTTCATATGTTGGTTGGCCACATAAATGTCTTCTTTTGCATAGTGTTTGTTCATATCCTTTGCCCACTTTTTGATGGGGTACTTTTTTCCTGTAGATTTGTTTAAGTTCCTTGTAGATTCTGGATATTAGCCCTTTGACAGGTGGATAGATTGCGAAAATTTTCTCCCATTCTGTAGGCTGCCTGTTCACTCTAATGATAGTTTCTTTTGCTGTGCAGAATCTCTTTAGTTTAATTAAATCCCGTTTGTCAATTTTGGCTTTTGTTGCCATTGCTTTTGGTGTTTTAGACATGAAGTCTTTGCCCATACCTATGTCCTGAATATTATTGCCTAGGTTTTCTTCCAGGGTTTTTATGGTTTTACAGTTTTAGGGTTTTTATGGTTTTTGGTCTCACATTTAAGTCTTTAATCCATCTTGAGTTAATTTGTGCATAAAGTGTAAGGAAGGGGTCCAGTTTCAGTTTTCTGCATATGGCTAGCCAGTTTTCCCAACACCATTTATTAAATAAGAGAATCCTTTCCCCATTGCTTGTTTTTGTCAGGTTTGTCAAAGATCAGATGACTGTAGATGTGTGGTGTTATTTCTGAGGCCTCTGTTGTGTTCCATTGGTCTACATGTCTGTTTTGGTACCAGTAGCACGCTGTTTTTGTTACTGTAGCCTTGTAGTATAGTATGAAGTCAGGTAGCGTGATGCCTCCAGCTTTGTTCTTTTGGCTTAGGATTGTTTTGGCTATATGGGCTCTTTCTTGGCATTCCCTTTGAAAACCAGCACAAGACAAGGATGCCCTCTCTCACCACTCCTATTCAACATAGTATTGGAAGTTCTGGCTAGGGAAATCAGGCAAGATAAAGAAATAAAGGGGATTCAAATAGGAAGAGAGGAAGTCAAATTATCTCTGTTTGCAGATGCCATGATTGTATATTTAGAAAACCCCTTCTTCTCAGCCCCAATCTCCTTAAGCTGATAAGCAACTTCAGTAAAGTCTCAGGATACAAAATCAATGTGCAAAAATCACAAGCATTCCTATACAACAATAACAGACAAACAGAGAGCCAAATCATGAGTGAACTCCTATTCACAATTGCTACAAAGAGAACAAAATACCTAGGAATACAACTTACAAGGGATGTGAAGGACCTCTTCACGGAAGGCTACAAACCACTGCTCAAGGAAATAAGAGAGGACACAAACAAATGGAAAAACATTCCATGCTCATGGATAGAAAGGATCAATATCGTGAAAATGGCCATACTGCCCAAAGTAATTTATAGGTTCAATGCTATCCCCATCAAGCTACCATTGACTTTCTTCACAGAATTAGGTGTTACTTCTTTAGCCATAGTGATGTCTTCTTTTTTGGCCAGAAGGAGGCCATAAGCAGGGTTTGGGAATGTACCTCACTCTGTTTAGTCATTAAGAAAGAATAGCCCTGACTAATCAAAGTCCTAGGCATGAAATGAAACTAGAAATTTTCCTCCAACCAAACAATAGTATTTGGCCTCAACTGCAACAGACTGTTGTAAGCAAGTTCTCTAAAACCTTTAAGACTCTTTAAAGAAAGCTCAGTAAAGTGGTTTCCTCCTCACTCCAATGTAATTTAGCTAAAGGAGGAATGATTGCCAGTTAATTCAGCAAACATTACTAAGTACCTTCTATCTTACGTTAATACTATTTGGATAGCATTTTACAACATACAAATTGTTTTCATATATATATATATATATATATTTTTTTTTTTTTTTTTTTTTTTTTTTTTTTTTTGAGACAAAGTCTTGCTCTGTCGCCAAGGCTTGAGTACAGTGGCATGGTCTTGGCTCACTGCAACTTCCACCTCCCGGGTTCAAGCAATTCTCCTGCTTCAGCCCAGTAGCTGGGACTATAGGTGTGCCCCACCAAGCCCAGCTAATCTTTGTATTTTTAGTAGAGATGGGGGTTTCATCATGTTGGCCAGGCTGCTCTCAAATTCCTGACCTCAAGTGATCCACCCACCTCAGCCTCCCAAAGTTCTGGGATTACAGGCGTGAGCCACACCACTCGGCTATATGATCTCACTTGATCCTCACTGTAAGCCTGTGAAGAAGGTATCATTAGCTCCATTGTTCAAAGATGAGCAAAATGAAAATCAGAGAAGTTATGTGATTTGCCCAAGATCACATAGCTAGTAAAGCAGTAGAACCTAGTCCCAAAGTCAGGTCTTCTGACTACAAGTCCAATGATGTTCCAGTATACCAGATATTGTAATAAATGCTGTGGGACATTTTTAAAATGAGTATGCATGGTCACTGTCTTCTACAAGTTTACCATTCCCTTTGATTCTAAATAAGCCCCCCCATTCCTTATATTCTGATAAAAGAGGCTCAGAAAGTAAAGACTGTAACTAAAATGATTGGCTTGGGAATACAAATCAGGAAAAGGCTGGGAGATCGTGGAAGCTACTAAAGAAGAGGAAGCAGGCTCTAAAACAGAAATCTGATCAGATCACCTGTAGTGTTATAATGAAGGAACTATTAAAATAGTGAGATTATTTAATAAGAAACTCAGATGATACACATGAAAAGTTATGATTATAAAGGAGATAACACTGATGAAATCTTTCAGAGATGCAGAGGGTTGCTTTCACCCCTGGCAGCTGGATTTGAAACTCTTGACTGCCGCAGTCATTTTCATTAAGATGGGATACACTTTTTCTGTTTTTTTTTTCTTTCCACATTTGTTGTACAACGTAAGGAAAAAGTAGGAAAGAATGAACGTTTTGTGGAATTTTTGTTCTTTTCAAATTGGAGTATGATTTGAATTGGAGCCTGAAGAAGGAAATATGTGACATTGTTACATTATAGTTTTCTTAAAAATGATCTCATTTTAAAATAATTTTTACAAAGGTTTTCTCCATTCCCAATTCTAAACTTGGTTTAAGGTTAAATTCTGCAAATATCTGAACATAACACTACCTATGAAAATAGAAGCGAGAAGCAAAATTTGATTAAATTTACGGTAATTCACTTCTTAAGATAAGGCAGCTATTCCTTACAGTGGGATACACCTGTTAACAGATATAACTTTCCATTTGTCTAAAAATTTGATAGCATAAAGAAAAAAACAAGTATCTAAGGTGATGGATTTATCAATTACCTTGATTTCATTATATGAATGTATCAAATAATCACATGTACCCGAAAATATGTACATCTAATATGTATCAATTAAAAATGTTTTTTAAATAAAGTAAATCAAGAAAAAAAAGAAAGCACCAAATCTTCAAGTGATAAAATGATTAAATGATCTAAAAATCATTAAAAACAAACACAGGGTTAGGAATTTTGTATGTAATTAAACCTGACCAGAATATAGCAATGTATGTCAAAAAGAAAATGTATAGAACATTAAAGAGTAACAGAAAAAAAAGAATGAAAAGATATAGGCTATAAACACAGTTATTATTTGGGCAAGTGTTTAATTGTGGATATATATTAAAAAATAATTCAGCTTTTCCTTGTCAAAAATGGAGAACATCTGAAATTTTTCTAAGCAAGGAGAACGGTATTTGCAAAGGAACTTTTTTTGGAGATGAATCTATTTTATGCATTGTTTCCAAATATTCCAGAAAAGATAATATTTGAAGGTAAGAACTTGATCAGGAGACTTAACATAATCCAGAAAGGAAGTGATGAAGCACTGAGCTAGGATGGTAGCAGTAAGACTGAAAAGGATGAGGACTAAACTGTATCTTGCTGACTGACTCGCAGCCTGTTTGTTTAAGGATGTATCCCCTCCACTGCACACTATAACCAGGTACATCCTTTTAAAAAAATTGAATACTGATTTGGAAACCGGATGTTCAAAAATTTCATCACATTGATATTTAAGACTTTCCATAATCTGATTACTAACTCTCTAATCTGAGCTTTTTTTTTTCCTCCAGCATAAATTCTCCATCCATCTAGGATATTGCCTATACCATTCACAAAACAAGCTACTCCTTAATACTTGCCTTCATTTGTTTGCTTATGTTGTTAACCTGAGACTGTCCTCTGTCTTACAAAAACATAATCAAATCCTCTTCTTCAGGGCTCATGTTAACCCCATCTCCTGAGTAAATTCTCAGTCAACCTCGCCAACACTTACCTATTGCTTCTCTCAACTTCTACAGCAGCTACTTTCTACAGAATTCATTTTGGCAATTAATCCTATTTTTCCTCCCACTGCTATATGTTCTATGTGAATGTCTTCCATAGTCAATGACAAATTCTTACATATAAAAATTTTATTATATATTCCTTTCACTATCAGGTATGGGTATAATGATCAATCAACACTTCGAAGGTGAATTATTATGATCTCTCATAATTCATGTACATTTATATAGTATATATTTACATAGTCTGTAGTTTTTCTAGAATTACAAGGTTATTATTCTAGGTTGTATTATCTGTTACACAAGACTAAGAATCAAGTCATAAGCTTTTTCTCTATCCCCATGTATGTCCACTAGAAGTATTAATAGGAATCAACTGATTTTTCTACATATTTAAAATCTCTGTATATAATATTTATTCAAAGATTTTTTTTTTTTTTTTTTTTTTAAAGAGACAGGGTCCTTCTATGTTGCCCAGGCCGGTCTCAAACGATCCTTCCACCTTAGCCACCCAAGCATCTGGGATGAGATAAAGATGTTTGTTAGTAGGTTTAAGTCCCATAATTCCCTTACTTGCAAAGAGAGAGAGAAAAGTCGGTTAGAGAGTAAATACTTTGGTCATGCACAGTAGCTCATGCCTATAATTCTAGCACTTTGGGAGGCCAAGGTGTGGATCACTTGATGAGCCCAGTTCAAGACCAGCCTGAACAAAATGGTGAAACCCTGTCTCTACAAAAAACTGGCCAGATGAGGTGGCATGCAGCTGTAGTCCCCAATACTCAGGATGCTGAGGTGGGAGGATCACTTAAGCTTGGGAGATTGAGGCTACAGAGAGCTGTAATTGTGCCACTGTACTCCAGCCTGGGTGACAGAGTGAGATCTTGTCTTAAAAAACAAAAAACTTAAAGAAAAAAGAAAAAAAAGAGTAAATATTTCATCTTTTAAAATTGTGCTTATAAATGCAGAAATAACCTATTTTTTAAGAAGGGACTGAAGAAAGGTTTCAGAGAAGAAAAGCATATTGTCAGGGTGGGACAATATTTGCAGCATAGAATAAGGTAGAATTCTAGGAGAGGCTTCTTAGGACACAGGCTGGCACTTCTCCCATCCCACCACAGAGAATAAGAAGGAATTGATCAGAAGTAGGATAAGCCCAAGACATAGGGGCAAATGCACACGTCCTCCATGTGGGAACTACTCCCACTCTGGAACTGAGCAAGCTAGTAAACTCAAGAGAGGTTCATACAAATTGTCAAAATGTTAGCAAGACCATGACTCCTGGACAGACAAACTGTTTTACTCAAAGTAAAATAAAATGCAGCCCTGAGACAATGTATGTATCCTATATTATTTTTTAAAGTGCATGTTTCTTGTATATATCTCAATCTACAATCCTTAGAAATCCATCAAACCATAATTGTGATTAGAGATGTACTATGCTTGAAAAACCTTATTTTTACTTACATTTCTACAGCACTACATTGGCACCTATATATTAATAGTTCTTATGTGATCCACCCAAAGAAGGGTGAACGTCAAATATTGCTATCCACATTCTACAGGCCTTGTGGAGTTTCCATTCTCCATGTCAAAGGATACCTAGTAATTTAAGTGCTGGAAATGGGGCCCCAAATCAGGTCTCATCACCATAAATCTAGGGGAAATGTTATAATATAGGGGTGGGGGAGGGGAGTAATATTTATGTGATAGTCGAGACACTTGAGTTTTATTCTTGATACTTAACTACTACTACCTAGTAAGGCAACCTTAAAAAGATCACTGAATTTCTAAAGGCTTCATTTTTCTCACCTAAAAAAAGAGAAATCTCGACTAGATGTTTCAGATGTTCACTTAAAAAGTTAAGTCATAAAATACAAGCACTAGGAGATATAAGATAAATAAGACTAAGCTCTTTCCCCTAAAATAACTTACTGATCAGTGAATGAGACATGCACAGGAACAAGATAACCAAGAAACAATGTGTTAACAGCAGAAGATAATAGATTTAAGAAGGGCAGAGAGGACTAATTTAGCAAGGAATAGGGATGGGAATTAAAATCTGAATTAAGTCTTAGAAAAGTATCCAGGCAAATAGAGGACCAAAGGACATTCCAATCGAAGGGAACAGCATAAACAAAGCCTCAGAGTGGAAAAGCAGCATAGGTTGTACAGGGAATTATAAACAGTTCAGTATTGCTGATACATAATTGTAGAGCAGAAGAGAGATCCTGCAAGAGTTGAAAGTAGAGGCCAGATTGAAGAGATCTATGATGTATTAAGAAAGCTGAACTTTATCCAGTAGGCAATGATGATCCAAGGCAGGGCTTTCACAGGGGAATGGCATAGTTATGATATAATTTTAGAAAGACCACTTTGATACCCGCGTGAAGAAAGAGTATGAGTGGTACAAACTAGAAACAGAGAAGCTAGTTAAGAATCTACAGCAGATATGATGAGGCCTCATTCTGGGGTGATTATAGAAAAGGATCATAGGTTCAAGAAATATGCAGAATCAGCAGGACTAGAAATGGATTGGGAGTGGGGTAAAGATGTGAAGGAGAAAAAAAAGGCATGGAAAGGATCCATGTTTTTGATCAGGCAGAGACAGAACTCAGATACTGAGTACAAAGGAAGAAATAGACAAAATTATCTTGAGTTTATCTTAGGACGTACCTGGTCAAAAAATATCTAGGTAGAGATGTCCAGCAGCCAATTGAACAGAGTAACCTAATGCTCAGGAGAGAGGCCTAGCCTAGAGATTTAAGTGTGGGAGTAAGCTGCACACAAGGTTGCAACTGAAACCCCAAAAGTCAACGTGTCCGCCCAAGAGAAAGTACAAAGTGTGAAGGGTCTTCAACCAGAACCCTGTTAAATACCAGAACTGTGCATTAGCCTAAGGGGTAGGGGGGAACAGGAAAGAGGTATATCCCAGAACACAGTGGGAGTGGTCAAAAAGGAGATGGTGATCAACAGTATAAAATGCAGCCCAGATATAAATCCAGGAAAAATAAGAACTGAAAGATGTCTACTAGACTTACTGACAGGGTTCATGACATGATCTCCCAAAAGATAGCACCTTAGCATTTGAGAAAACAGCAAAAGCAGGAAGGCCATTCTTACCTTCCTCTCATCCTTCTCACGTGAGACAGGTCATAAAACTTAGCAAGAATTTTTTGACCTTCCCCTGAAATAGGTCATAAGATCCCCATATGAGAGATGCCCATACTATACCCAGAGGGAAGGAATATCCTTATTCCTGAAGACACAGGGACAGAGAAAAGAATCTGACAAACAAGCCTTACTAAGTTCCCTTCAGTTTATTACCATTATAAGCCCTTAGTCCTTATGACTATCCACCTCTTCATCATCCCTAAACATAAAAATACACAAGTTTGGCCAGGCATGGTGGCTCATGCCTGTAATTCCAGCACTTTGGGAGGCTAAGGCAGGTGGATCACCTGAGGTCACGAGTTTGAGACCAGCCTGGCCAACATGGTGAAACCCCATCTCTACTAAAAAAAAAATACAAAAATTAGCCAGGCATGGTGGTGTGCGCCTATGATCCCAGCTACTTGGGAGGCTGAGGCAGGAGAATCACTTGAACCCGGAAGGCGGAGGTTGCAGTGAGCCAAGATCATGCCATTGCACTCCAGCCCGGGGGACAGAGTGAGACTGTCTAAAAAAAAAAAAATTTATGTGTTTTTTTGGGTCTTCAATTCCAAAGGCTGCATTGTCACATAAAAGTTTTATTACTTAAATTTGTGTGTTTTTCTCTTGTTAATCTTCCTTTTGTTATAGGAGCCTCAGCCATGAACCTGAAATGGTAAGAAAAGATATTTCTTTTCCCCTACATTAGCAATTAAGTGGTCACTCAATAATTTATTATAAGTAGTTTCAATCAAGTGAGTAAGGGAGGAAGCTAGACTGCAGTGGGATACGAAGTGGAAACAATGAGTATAACACTATCTTTTTGAAAAATTTAAATCAGGAGGGAAGCAATTCAAAATTTAATTAAGATTGGAAGTTCTCAAACCCCTTTACAGTTCTCATACTCTGTTCTTTTCATATAAATAAAAAGCCTATTTTGGTAAAATTTCATTAAAACCCATATTGATTAAATATGAAGTAATATCTTTAATTATCAGAAAAATGAGGGATATATATATCCCTTTGGTAGCTACAATTTGATATATATATATATATATATATATATATATATATATATATATATATATATAACATTTCCCAACATACCTTAGAAATACCTTGTAAAATTATCTTTTTAAAAATGTACTAAAGGGGGCTAGGGCAAAGGAAAAAGCAATGGTGAAGTAACCCTCTCTTGCACCAATTGTTCCTTCCTTAATTCCTCATAAAGACATTCTTCATTGCCCTCTGCCTGGAATATTCTTCTTCTCTGTTTTAATTTGCTTAACTCCTACTCACTCTTCAAGGACCTGCTCAAAGTCCACCCCACAGAATCACAGAATGTCAGGGACAAAAAGGGCCTTACAAATCCACTGAATCCAAATGTTTCTAACATGCTGATGAAGAAACTACATAAAGATCAGAGTTTCAGAGAATAATCTGCCCAAGGTCCTATTACTTGCAGCTTGCGGCCAGGTTGGAATTTGAACTACTTCTTCAGCTAGTATCCATTTCAGTAGACTCATTCTTTCCTCACATAACTGTTATTACAGAATTGAAGATTGCGGTAAGTCAAGCTTTAGTAATAATCAATTTCTAAAAATTTATTTAGAGTAAGATCCATGTTACTAATACTTTTTAAAACTAAGGAGCCAACCTACAACTTACTTGTTAGTTTGAGTCAACTACCTACAGCTACTTGATTATACAAGATTACAGATGTCAGATAGTATTTATTTCATGGATAAATAAGCTGACTGTCAGTCACTAAATAGGATCCTTCCCCAAGAGTGCAGCATTTATTTCAGCCTCTGCCAGTGGAAGTGTTGGAGCAGATGTTGGCAGACTGTGACATACAGTATGTCTTTAAAACTCGTTGGGGTGTGAAATTTCATAAGGTCAAAAAATGCTGCATTTTGATCAGCAGATACAAGAATTCTGTACTTTTATAAATTATTTCAGAAAAACCAATAACATTTGCTGGTAAAATGGATAAACTAAAAAGCTACACTGGCTTTAGGTAGGGCATTTAGATAATGTATGCTGCTTATGTTCTAAAAGCTAATTTCTATCACTTTAAAGCAAATGTTCACTCAAAAAGTCTTTAAAATGAAAATCTGTTCTTAAGTCAATACAAAATACAATATATTATTTCAGTTGACAATAGGGTTTAAAAAATAATTTTCTATTGAAAGAAAACCATTATTATCTAATGAGCATTTTGGTGGGAAAAAAGATGTTTTCCTTAACTAACACACACACTTCATAGTGATCTCATTTAAAAAATATCTATATTAAGAATCCACTAATATAAACAGAGAAAGCTTTTTTTTTTAAGTTAGTATCCATATCGTTCAAATGACTTCACAAATCTTTTAACCCTTTGGTTTATTGTTTTATCTTTTTCTTAAAAAAAATACAGTAGCCATTCTAACCCACTAATAAGGGCTAACCTGAATTAAACAATAGGAGTAAAAAAAGATCACGGCTTTTATAATGGTAAAATGAAATTTGTAACATTCAAAGACTTATTTTCTTGAATTTTTTGTTATATTATTGCATTTTTTAGCTTCAAATTTCCCTTGTATCTTTTTTTCCCAAATATGGCTAATAGATAACATATAACCAAAATCAAAATTAAGGATATTGTCTCGTTAAAGATTTTAGCTTAATAATACAGACGAGCTAGATCTTAGGCAAGTTTAACTTAGCGTAATTTAAAACACTTTACTTCTAAATTAACACAAAGATTCTCTAATTGATTAATCAATATATTTGAAGAGTTGGAAGAGCCTGGTAATAACATAACAATAATAATCATTGTCATTATCATCATTGTCATCTTTCAGTTTATTTTGTGCTATGTTCATGCAAATACAAAATTTCTAAGTAAGTTTTAAACATTTTTGTTAGATATTTGTAAGGAAGAAAAATTTAACTACGAACATAAAATCTCCCCAGAAGATGATTTCTAATATAAATCACCTGTTTCTCATCACACAATCAAAAGAGCTAAGATTATGACAGGAAACTGATTAAAGTGCATTAAGTACCACAACATCTTATAATCATGCTAAATCTAACAACCAAGTTCAAAGGTCCTTGTTTTTATGTTATAAACAAAAACTTGAAGTATGTATTTGGGGAATTATATTTATCACATTCAAGTTCTACATAAAAATATTAAACTCTATTGCATTGTATAAGACCAAATGTTATCGATAACCTCTATGCTAAGGGACTGAAATTCTATCAAAGCTGAAAATTTCTCTATTAAATATAAACCCAAACTTTTTCACAGGTTTCTCATATAGCCTAAGATATCTGACACATAAAATCATAAAAATAAATAAATACAAGATGAATCAACAATTATAATTAACTTACTTGCCACTGAAAAGTTGTTGAGGGGATAAGGTAAATCCACATCTTGAGGTTTCTCTTTATATCCTATGAATGAGCCATCTGTCTTCAAAAGGAAGTATCTTGGCCTCCAGTTTTTTATATATTCTCCTACATGAGGAAAGCACGCATGTTAATGCTGAAAAAAATGAACAGCAGCTTTTATGCAAAAAATAAATTATGGTACAATATATGTCCTACAACACTGGCCTCCAAAAATTTAGTTACTCAATTTTCTTTTAACTTAGCTTACAAAAGAAAATACATAAGCCTACAATTAAGATTCAATAAAAACCCAAACATGTTTTGTTTTTAATGATTTCACACTTTGATAATTCATTTGCACCATTATTCCTTCAGAGAATCATCTGAGTACACATTTTGTTCAGTTTTTCATTTTATCAGATGGTTGTTAGAGCATATTTTCAGCTGTTTTAAAAAGCCTTGGTAAATCATCCACACAGTATCAATGAATTTCCATTAAAAACATTTATCATAAGAGAGGCAAGAAATAGATGTTTCTCTTCCACTAATTGTGTCTTTTTTTTTTCAAAAAAGAAAGAAAAAAGTCTATTTTCATTAATAAATCTTGACTGTAACTTGTTTAAGCAACATTTTATTGTTCTTCATAGAAAAATAACCTTTTTGCAATGCTGTACTTAAGAAAACGAAAGAACATGGGTTAACAGGGCTTTCAACGATACGCAAACTCACACATACACAAACATAGTAACTATTAATATATGGTACAGTGTCAAGAACATAATAGTCAATAAATGTATACTTTATTAGAACTTAACATAAGGTACCACCTAGCCACCAAAATACACATTTTTAGCAACTACATTACAATTTGCTTACCTACTAAAGGACAACTTCTAATTTTAAGCAACAGAGGTGCTCCATGATGCTACAAGAGCTAGAAGGCTATCTGGTATTGATTCAGTTCTCTACTGGTTATTTCTACCTGCTGATTAAATCTCAAATGCTTAGGCAAAGAAGTACAAAAAAATTGCAAACAGTTCAATTTTCCCTACAAATCAGCTTCTTCTTGTGACCCAAACTCAAACCCAACATCTGAAGGTTCCCCTCCTTATCACAGTTAGGTCAATACTGCCATCACAAGTCTCTCTGATTGAGCCCAATCAACTGAACCCTTAATACGTTATATCTACTCTTCTGTTAATACTGTTTTTCCCCACTCTACACATTCCCCACTTCCATCCTAATGTATCTATCACCTCCAGATTAATCTTGTGTGTACCACTTTATCACTTTTCTGCTCAAAATATCCTGTGACTCCTTACTGCTTACTGTAAAGTCCAGTCTCTTACCATAAAATGTAATCCAAATCTTTTACTATAAAGGGCAATCTCACCCCAACATGTATTTCAGATGTGGAATCATTCCTCTGAATCAGCAATTCTTAAACTTCTTAGAATCTCTTTATATCCTTAAATATTACTTAGAGCACCAACAAATTATGTAGATTTTTATCTATGTTTACTTTATTCGAAATTGAAAATAGATTTTATAAATGTTTTACTTCACTTGAAAATAAATTTATTACATATAACAAATAACATATTTTTATAAAAAATAACTATTTTCTTTAAAGAAAGAAAAATGCAAAGACCAGCACTGCTTTCCATTTTTACAAATCTATTTAATGTCTGGCTTAATAGAAGACAGCTTAATTTTCTTAGCTGTTCCTGCCTTCAACATCCTGCTGCAGTATGTTGTTTTGGTTTAAATTTAGGGGGAAAAAATCTGGCTCAAAGAGATATGAAGCTGAAAAAGGGAAAAATATTCAGATAGTTATGGATATCATTCTTTGATACTACACCAGAATTCAACAAGGGTTAGTTTCTAAAAGGTTAGTTGCAATGTAGAACTTGAAACTTTTAACAATGAACTTTCTGTACTATTATGTGAAAATCCATTGATCTATACTGGACTTTGAATGAATCTTTAACACTGTCTATAATTTTATAACATTATGCATTGGTCACATAGAAAACCCTGGCTTATCGTGCTATGCTGATCTTCCTAATGTTGACACATTTCATTATACAATCACATTTGTTATCAATACCAGTCTCATGAAAAAAGTAAACATTGGAAAGCTGACAAGCTCATAACGAGAGATCTGTTTTCCCAAATTTAATCTTTGCTTAAAAGCTCAATTTCCATCAGTGACAGCATATACTGTCAGTTGTTTTCCTTGAGGTGATAATACTCTACATGCCCAAGCTGGTGCCCACCACTTAATGCTCAATCATGATTTATTAAACAAATGAATAAATAGAGGATACGTAGATCAGTATCCTCCACATAAGTATGTAAGGGCAAAAAAGAAATTTAAAGAAAAAAGAAAAAAAAGTGATGCTCTTCACTTTATTTTACTGAAAAAAGACGGCCCTAATATTAATAAGCACATGACTTAATAAGGCAATTTATAAAACTAGAATGCCTAATACACAATTCCCACGTTGAAAAATAAAATAATTCCTTAATTGCTCTTATTTTATTTTTCCATTTCATTTATTCCTATATAAAATTCAAAATCATTAGGTATTAATTCTCCAATTAATGACATATTTAGACTTCAAATGTTGTTGTACAGCAATAAGAGATTTATACTGGTACAATATGCTGTAACTCTGTAAAGGTAAATCACAATAGTTTAATAATTATACCAAAAATAAAATGAATCAGATCCATTTGAAAAATACAAAAGAAAACACGGAATAACACCATTTCTTCTTCTTTTAAAATAGTACTGAATACACTTATTCAAGAAATGTAAAATTAAAAGAAATCAAATTTTCATTTCTAAGCATAATTTCCCTCTATGTACATCCTCAGATGAAAAACACAAAAACATCATTATATAAATCTTGTATCTTTTTTATTAAGCAGATTTTTAAACTTTTAAAATATTTTCTATGATCTATAGCAGGACTTCTGGTTGCCAAAAAGCTATTTAAAAATAAATGTATTATGCATCCTTCAAACGTAATACAGTATACCAAGATAGTGATGTACTCACTCACATAGAAGAAAAATTTTAAAGAATTTCCCTTCTTCCTTAAAAAAGTATTATTTCTCACAAACTTTTTAAATAATTTTAAATTGATTTGGTTAATCAACAATTATACTGTGATACTAAGCCAGAAGTAGATCTCAAACTTCCAATAAAGACTACTAAATCTATTTTCTTGTCATTTTTCACCTATAATATGAATTAACTTTCTGAGAAGATGCTTAGAATGCATTCATTATTAATTTGTTACAGAGGCTGGACCAAAAAAAAAAAAAAAGACAACTTAATAGAGCTTAATTCCAGTATTATACCAGATTTCAGGTGCCTAGCTGTTCGAAAAGGAACTGAACACTTTCATCTCTAGCTCAGAAGTTGAGGCAGTGTGAGTTCAGATAAGGCACGTGTTGTCAGGTTGTTCTAAAATATGGACAGAAAGTCCTAGCTTTTATGAGGCTAAGTACCCAGAACAAAGTACACTCCCTGCCACCAATCCTTTTAAGACGGACTGCTAAAAGTCAATCTTTTATTTTAAACACAGAATTTGCATCTAAGTTTACACATGATGCATCAAACCCAAATTGCATCATACTTTTATGTTTATGGCCCATAGGTTTTAACCAATTTAAAACACAACCTGGTTAAAATGGAAAGTCTTGTCAAAAAAGAAGCATTTATGATGTACCAAGTATCCCAAAGAGATTGTTCAATGGACACCCACCAATATACATCCAAATAGTAAATGTATCGTCAAGATAAACCTTCAGCAAGCACTGCAGTCACAACTGGTTAAGACTTCCAACCCAACCTCTTCCACTATATATATATATATATATATATATATATATATATATATATATATATAATCTTCATGGGTGCTTCCACTTCTTTCTCACACTCTTTTGCTGGAAGCTATACCTATGTTGAAGTATGCTGTTATCAATACCAAAACAAATACATTTCCCAGCAAGGATTCTGGTATACTGGCTTCTGGTAGTGAGGTGAGTGGTGGACCCTCGAATGATGTACGCACCCTAATCCCAGGAACCTGTGAATATTACCTTATGGTAAAAAAGAATGACTATTACTTTATATGGCAACACATGTGATTAACAATTAAGGATTCTGAGAAGATGGACTTTTCCCCTGGAGAATTATCTAGGTAAGCCCTAAATCCAATTACAAATGTCCTTTTAAGAGTAAACTGAACACACAGAGAAAAGGAAGGGGGAACGTGGCCACAGAAGCAAAGATTGGAACTATGGGCCAAAAGCCAAGGAGCACCTAGAGCCACCAGAAGCAAGAAGAGACAACAAGTGGGTTCTCCCCTGGAGCCTTCTCAGTGAGTGTGAACCTGCTGACACCTTGATTTCTAACTTCTGGCCTCCAGAATTGTGGCAGAATAAATTTCTGTTGTTTTATGCCACCCACTTTTTATTAATTTGTGACAGCAGTCCTAGGAAATACAGCTCCTAAACACTATGACCAATGGCTTGCTAACAGAGCTAAAAACTACTACTTACTCATTGAGTTCTTGGCATAGGACATGTACAGATTCAGTTAGCACCTTCTGAATGCAAAGAGGAAAATCCACATTACTACTGTAAATGGTAGAGAATCCTACTTGTAAATTATGAGGGTGGAAGAAACTGTTTGCTAGAATTCATGGTTTTACTTAGTCCTAATAACTTCAGATTCTGGACCTTTGCCACCTTTCTTACTTCACTTAATAACTTATTCCCTGTAGTTAAAACAAACGATCTCAATGATTTTGAGTAAATTTTGACCATAGAAAACATCCTGAATTTCCACAGCTGAGTAAAAATACTGCATTATTTTGGACCTCAGGCTTAGTCTATTTTTTTTTTTTTTTTGAGACACAGTCTTGCTCTGTCACCAGGCTGGAGTGTAGTGGTGCAATCTTGGCTCACTGCAACCTCTGCCTCCCAGGTTCAAGCGATTCTCCTGCCTCAGCCTCCCGAGTAGCTGGGATTACAGGTGCGCACCACCACACCCACCCATTTTTTGTATTTTTAGTAGAGACAGGGTTTCACCATGTTGGCCAGGATGGTCTCGATCCCTTGACCTCATGATCCACCTGCCTTGGCATCCCAAAGTGGTGGGATTACAGGCGTGAGCCACTGCGCCCGGCCAGGCTTAGTCTTTAATAACAACCTGAGATGGGACCTGGTATGAGTTTAGACTCATGCTCACTTTCCACCTAAAAGATCTGGATAGGATATTCAAATAAATCATCTTTATCATGAATTATATACTCTCAAACCAGAGCTCACCAAAAAGTTGACAGTGTTCACTTCCTACCATTCACCTGATAACAACAAACTGTATTTTTACTTAATAATCTTCAACCTAAATTAGTCCATATATAAACATTTTATTTCATTATTCATCAACACTCTACTGAGAATCACATTTTGATTTTTTAAAAGCTTAAGTCGTAAGTGTAAAAGCTGAAGTCGTAAGCGCCAAGGCAGAAGCTAGAAGTGTACATCTCTGGACTAAACAGTGATTGATTAAAATGTGCAAATAGTCTTTCATCTAGAATAACTAAGGAATATCTAGATTTGTTCAGACATGCAAATGGAAAAGATCTTCAGAAATAATTCAGCCTTGTGACCTCACAAATAGATCATGTTGATGAATATCTGATACCTTTTTAAGGCTACATTGTGTTCCAGAACCTAGTTCTAATTCTAACTTCATGAAAGGTAGAAAGATGTGAAGTGAGCTGGGTACTGGTTGAGAATACTGCAGAAATACTCATCTCTACCTTCAACTGTCATGGACTATGCTAAAAACACAATCGGGTAGATTCACTGAGATGTAACTAAACAAATATAGATACAATCCAATTGAAAAGAAATCTATAAAACCATAGCACTATTTTTCACAAATCCCATAAAATTCATTTGAAATTCATTTAGTTCATTTAGAATTTAATTAGAAACAACACAATCACCATTTTAAAAATATGCTTCTTACCTAAGAAAAAATGCAAAAAAAAAAAAAAAAGACCCTAATTATCAAGAGTTGCATAACAAACAAAAATTCTAATTTTCCGATACAGGTGCTAGCTTTTTAAGATACCAATGCTCACTCAAACTTGTTGTAACATAGTCTTCAAAGCTAATCACTGCATAAGGAAGACGGTGGGAGCATCCTCACATGTATGTCAGGAATAGATGTTACTGTTTTATCATAAAGCTAAAACAAGTATAAGCTCAGCTTTCCTCAGAATGCTGTATTTTAAATATTTAATTTTCATGTTTAATCACAAGCAAAGTCACAAAGTTTTTACCATGTATGATTATTTGTCCTTATACATCTCTGAAGAAAAAAATGTATAGATTACATCTATACTTAATGCATGCGTTAATGAAAAAATAACCTCTTTCGCAATCTTTATTATTTACAGAGGGAGAGAGCCATAGAATTTATGCAAAAAAAAAAAAAAAAAAGCTGGCCATACTGTCAATGTGAAAAGCATGTGGTCACATTTTCAGAATAAAAGAAATTTTAATTTAAACCAATGCTATGTTGTGTAACAAAAGGTACAACAAATTGTTGTGATCAATACGAGGTCAACAAACTTCTCAAATTAGCCTTCAGTTTCTTTCCCACTCAACCTCATCATTAAAATGCTCCAGGCAGAACAATGTAATGGTTAAGAGCAAGGACTCTGGAGTCACACAGCTTGGGTTTGAATCCTAATCACATCATTTATTAGATGCATGAACCTAACCTCTTTACATCTCAGGGTCCTCATCTGAAAAACAGAAATCATAGTTTTTATCCACCAAAGGGTTTTTGTAAGGACATAATGTAAAAAGCCCTTAGAACATTACCTGACATATTTCAAGTATTTGATTTGGTTGTTAGCAAGTGATACTAATACTAATACCACTTATGATAATATAATTTATAATCCAACTACAAACCACACATTAAATGTTCTACTAATCAGTACTGCACTTATTCAGAAGTATTTACATAAATGAGGCAACGATGAATTTTTTAAGTCTCTTTGGCTAGTGTCAGGTATATAAAACATGTATTTTATGTAAGGAAATGAAGAGGTTATCCAACATCTAAACACAGTATTAATTTGACTAATACTTTTAGTTCTTTTGAATATCAGGATATCAGAGGGGTAAACTAGTCTTCCAAAGAAAAGAGCAGAAGTCAGATTCTTCTGAATTTTTATAAATGATACACACAAATGTACAGTACCATAAAAATATAAACATTTTATGAATTTTCAAAGAGCAGCTTTAAACCAGAAAAAGGCAGTTTTCAGTAAAAATAAATGTACATGCTTCAAGAAACTATCTTTGGCAATACTCCTTAAATAAAAGTCTTCATGAGCCAATTTTTACCTAAGACAAAAACAGATACAATGTTAATTTCAGCATAAAATCTATTTAATTTCATCATTCACAATGTAGTAAATATTTAGTTGCCTGTTGACAGACACCAAATTTTCACATATGAACTACCTAAAAGAATATGGCAAAATCTTTTCTACTAATGGATTTCATAAATAAATATTAGCACAAAAAATACTGTATAGTCCATAATTATGTGATACATCTTAAATATCAGTAATCAATTATAGTTGCTGAAGAAATGCATGACAATAAATATAATAAGACATTTGCAGTATTTAAAATTACTGATTACAGTTTTATACAGAGGAGTACAATTAGTTCTGAGTGGAAGCCTATTCATGTCTCTTAGAGAATCAAAGAAATGTGCTTCTCACTCAACTTATCATAACCATGTTTTATTGATGTCTTAAAAATAATCCTGGGCCAGGCGTGGTTGCTCACTCCTGTAATCCCAGCACTTTGGGAGGCTGAGGCAGGCGGATCACTTGAGGCCAGGAGTCAGAGACCAGCCTGGCCAACATGGCAAGACCGTCTCTACTAAAAATATAAAAATTAGCCGGGCGTGGTGGCGGGGCCCTTATAATCCCAGCTACTCGGGAGGCTGAGGCAGGAGAATTGTTTGAACCCAGGAAGCGGGAGGTTGCAGTGAGCCGAGATTGCACCACTGCACTCCAATCTCAGCAACACAGCAAGACTCCATCTCAAAAAAAAAAAAAAAAAAGAAAAAGAAAAATATCCTGAAGAATTTTGTTCATATTATCTACATTGCAATAAACTAGCGTAAGTTTTCAACTGCACAGGGACAATATGAAATGTAACTTTTTAAAGTGATTTTGCATATTATAGGTACTTATTAAATACATATATTGATTAGATTTTCCAACTCCTAAAAACCTGAATTTTTAGGTTATCATTTATCTTTTATTGAGTCTTGAAACATGTTCTTTCCTTGCCCTCAGGCAACTGAAAAGTGTTAAATTCTATTCTGATGTCTATGCAATGTCTTTGACCACTTGTCATCAACCAGCTTTGGATGTGTGTTGATAGTCTGTGAAAATTGAGCAATGTCTAAGCATTATGAACTCCTGCCCAGCTCACTCATTTTAAGGTGCTGCTGCTCAAGACCACCTAGATCAAAAAAGCCACTTTAAACATCTTTACTTAGATTTAAGAAAAACGGGCTAACAGTTATTCAATCAAAAATACTCGGTGAGTGTCAAAATATGTACAAGTACTAAGAAGGCAGCAATAAATGATACAAGCATAGTCCCAGCCCTCATGGAGCTTTAATAAATGATACAAGCATAGTCCCAGCCCTCGTGGAGCTTTAAGTCTAGTAGGCAGCTGTGAGAGGTGGAGAAGAAAAGGGGATGAGTTGACTAATTAAAATTTTAAGTGAAAATTTCTCCCATTTCTTTAACCATTCTTAGTGATCCAGAATGTCATACTGGGGATGGCAATAGCCCCTATTCTTTGGCATTTCTAAATAGCATCTCATGTGGATTCAGAAAAAGGTAGTCGATGATATTTGTTGGTTTGACGTCTAACTGTGGGGAAGGGACTGGGAAGAATATCAGCGTAGGATTCTTCGATTTGCTGCTATGTTGATTCCAAGATGAGGCACTGCATCATCCTGCATTCCTCCTTGAAGCCTCACAATAACACAAGCAAAAGCAAGGCAATAGCTTTACTACCCTTTCATCTAGAATAATAAATAACACATCTTTACGTTTCAGGTTTTAAGATTATTGCCCATTCTTGTCTTTCTCACTGATTTCTGCATAATATTGATTAATAAGGTCAGATTTTTAAACACCTGAATTTCTCTTTATGGTTATTTCACCCGGTAAACTCTGGGTCACTGAGATGTTTGTCTGCTCTTGGACTGGTCAATGTTGCCACTGCAGCTGGCCACACGGAAGGTGTTTACAATTTTCGTGATTTTGTGTTGTGCTTCCGAGATGTCTTAAAGGCTTTCCAGATGTACCCACATTCCTCTGCTTTGCCACATATGTTCCCTCATGATTATTTTGAAAAGTATATTATAGTCAAGAAACTCTCATTCTAATGCATAATGCATGAACTTGTCATTTTTACATTAAGTACAGTTTTCACTTCATCTTAGCCAAAAGTCCGAGAAGCAATATTATGAAGTATAGTTTTCATATCGGCTTCCTAAAGAAAGCTGGGGTCCATGTTTTGCTTTGAAGCTGATGAGATGATGAGAAAAATACCTATGCATTGAATACCAACCACAAGATGTTAGAATGGCAACTTCTCTAAGATCTCAGTATGGTTGGTTTGTTAGTACTTTTATCTGCTTTACAATTTTCTTTTGTTTTCCAGAAAACTGCATAATTATCATCTACCCTTAAGTATTCTGGTATTTGTTTCATGATATTCGGTAAATTGACTAATCAAATCCTTGTTCCACTTGTTTTTAGGAAACATTACATTTTTAACCAAAGTGATGCTTTTAAATTATTCTCTTAAACACAATAACATCTTAATAGAGTTACAGTACCCAGTTTTACTCTAAGAGAAAAGCAAGGTGAGTAAGGAAGGCACAGGGGCATTGGGTGGAGACACAGAGAACAAAGCATCCACACGGACTAGCCAACAGAAAGCATCCTGGCAATTTAATGAAGAATAAACGGTGACTTTAGTTTACATAGCAGTAGGTATGTTGTGGAGAATTACTCAATCTGTACGCAGCCTCCTGCTGGGTTAAGTGTGAGCTAAGTTATTATTTTGCTTACATCTGCACCCTTGTAGGCTGTGAAAGCAGAGCTTTCTTTTTAAAAATCTGTTTACTGCATTAGAGCAGAGTTTCCAGTTCCACACACCGGATTTAACACAAAGTCATTCTTGCACCATTTTCAAAAAGTAGTCATAGAATTTTAAACTATTATAAATATAGACCAATTTAAAAATATAATTTCATCAGAAACTTTAAAACTTCCTTATTGTAAATATTTCCCATTTTACCACCTTATATTATCTAAATATAATATCATACATGGCATATACACTGCAGTAAATAACCTTAATGAATACCAAATATGGAAGCAGTGAGTCCATAACGCAAGAAACTACCACAGAGGTGGGCAATAACCATTAATTCAATGACTAAATAAACCTACCACCATTTGAAATAAAGACTATACTCCTGTCAGAAAAGCTCTCTCAAACAGAGAAGTCTCTCTATAACACAACCTCGTATGGTTCAATCCACTTTTCTGTTAGAACATGCCTGATGGATATGACAAATAACAATAATGGTGCCTCACTACAGCACTAACTGGGAGTTTGCAGAGAAGGCAGGCTGTAGTGCTTGCTCATCAGGAGGTGGTCTGTGCCATCTGAAAAAACTCTCAGGTGGTTCAACCCACCCATCCCACTCCTATACTAACATCAATGCTCTACAGAATAAAAACTAATAGGACTTTATCTTAGACTCTTACCAAGGAGTTTTTCCTCTAAGAAAAGTCTAGTAGTATGGACCCTAAAATGGCACTGCATCAAACCGAGAGCTCCACTATTCTGAGGATGAATCCATGCCCTTCATAACTCCTCTCTTCCCTCCTTTGTTCTCCTTAGACAATGTACTGATTGAGTCTTGTACCACAGCATGTTAAGTGGTGAAAGGAAGAAGAGGTAAGAGCAAGGAAGAAAAGGAAACATGAATGTCCTCAGCCAGGCACTGTGCTCAGGCTTCACTTACAGAGCCCTCTTCACAGCAACACTGAGACTGGTGCTGCAGTATTCTCACTTTTCACAGAGAGCCATGCTGAGGCTCTGAGACACTGGGACAAGCTAGTAAAGGACAGAGTTAAGATTCAAAGAGTGGTTGGGAGCGCACACTCTCAAGCTGGACTGCCTGGGTTCAAATGCCAGTTCTGTCACTCACTAGCTGTGTGAGAGACAGTGAATGCTGTTTAATCTCTCTGGGTCTCAGCTTCCTCTTCTGGAAAATGGGGACAATAATAATGGAGAAATAAATTAAAGTTTGTAAAGCATGTAGAACAACATCTAGCTCACTGCAAGCATTATGTAAGCATTTGTTAACTGAATAAAACATCTCAGAGTAAGGCTAAGGAAACCAATCAAAGGAGATTTAGTGAGTACCTAATATGTACAATATGTTAGACTACACAAAAGTAACTAGAGTGTTTAAAATAAAATGGAATTTCTTTAATTTGTCTAGACTATCACTATTGCACATTAGCTGAGCAAAGGAGGTATTGATTTTTTGTGGATAAAATTTCTATTTTTGTTATTCACTTTGCTTATGTCCTGTCTTCATCCCTCATTACTAAGAATAATGAACTGAGTGTCGCTTATGTTTAACTCATTGAAATCTCTAGTGAAAGACTGACAATACCAACTGTCACAGAAATCATCTTTCTTAATTCAATAACAACTAACTATAGGGCAAAAAAATCAAAAGCCTTCCACTGAATTTACTACTAAACATTGCAATGTTTCTTTCAAATTATAAGAAAGTTACTCCATACAAAAAGAAAAAAGGACACAACTCATTATTCTGGGTTTTTTTAATTTTAGATTCAGAAGGTACATGTGCAGGTTTGTTACATGGATATACAGCATGATGCTGAACACCTCATTATTTTGACATCAGGCCTTCCCCACTCTTCCTTTCTTATTACAAAAATTAATCATCATCTAATCCCCAATATTCTGAATTCAAAGAAGTGTTAAGTCACACATCAATATCAGGTCTTTACCTCTACTTTAAAAACGTATGCTTTTATAAGTGCACAGGAATAAGTGTATTTCAACTTCTAGTATATTTATACATAGCCACTGCATATACAGCAAAGTAAATTACTCTTGATTCATATTATATTTGAAAGATGTGATTATGCTTAAGTTTTTAAAACTGAAGGGAATCTATGCTTCCATTTTAATGAATACTGCTCTATATTAAAAAGTGTGGCTTCAAATAATTTTGAATACTAGAATATCTGCTATCAAAGACACAAAAACTAAAACGCACCCGCCAAGTAAAATCATCTTAACTTTTCCAGGTAATTTTCTTATACTCTCTATGAACCCATCTAATTTGACAATTTATGGCCAGTCATGTTAACATTTTCTTAGACTAGAACTGAACATGTTTAAATGATATCGTCGAATTGAAGGGCACAAACATTTTAAAAGAACACAACAAATCAAAGAAATGCAACCACAAATCAAACACTATTCAATTACTCAAATAAATAATTTTGAGTACTCCCCAAAGAAAGCTTATAGATAATATAAATAGAAAAGCTGCTTCTCAATGTTAAAAATGAATTTACTTACCTTGGCCCTCTGAGGGCAGTATTACCTAACACATAGAAATTTCAGAAAACAATCTTTACCTATCATACTAATAAAAACAAATTTCTTAAAATGAAATGGGCATATTTGCTCATTATACGTACATATTTCTTTCCTCATCATTATCTGTACCTCAGTAAGCATAATAATGCTGTTTTCAAATGTTTCCAGTGACTTTGAAAGGAAAGATTTTCTTAAAACCAAGGCATCAGGAAGGAAAATGCATGGAATCATCAGTATCACTGAAGTCATCCAAAATACAATAAAATAAAAAAGTATATAAGAATTTTACATTGCATAAATAATCTAAGTTCCTGTTTTGCTCTCTGTAGAATAATTTGTTTTTAAAAACTGCAGGACATCTAAATATACAATCTTTCAGTAAAGACAAAGTAATTTGAGGAGGATAACAATTCAGTTCCAAAGTGTCTTCTTAAAAGCAGCCAATACCAATACACTCGTTTGTTACAAATCACTCATTTATTAATGAAATATAATGCAAATGACAAATTGGCAATGTGGAGTTGAAGCACTCACTGAGTTTTCATAACTGATTCTTACACTAAGAATCTTTACATAGCATAAGGATTATCCATTCTAGAATCTAAGTCAATCAATGTACACTGGGTGTTTTATTCCTTTTGCTATTTCACAGAAAGGAAAAGTTTTCTAGCATTCACTTATCAAAGTTTTTTTTTTATATACAAAACACTGAGTAACTTACCCTATATAATCCAGTGGTATGATAGACCTTTACTTTAAGAATATAAAAAGTGCTAATCTTTATGTCAGAGTTTTACATACAAGTTAATTAGTAACTATCCAACTTTCCAGGTCCCACCACTTCTCCCATATAGAAAAAAAAAAACAAAACCTAGCATTAAAAGAAAAAAAAAAAGAGCTTCTATTGAAGGAAGATAAAAATTATTACAAGCAGGTAAACAGCAAATTTACTTTGACACAGCAAGATCTCACGTGGATGACACTGATTGCCATTTAGTAAAAATGTGTTTTATTTAGGTTTTGTATTTACTTTTTCAAAAAAGTCCTTGCTTCTATAATTCAAAGTATAGTAGTTCTCCACTCAGGAACTATGCCATTATTTAGCATAACTTTGAATAAATTAGATTTTTAAAATTTGAACTACTAAACAGTCTTATTCTTTTTAAAGTATATAATATCATGGATATTTTAAGATCATAAAAATTTAAATTCTATTTAAAATCCTTCTTTACTAAATCAAAAGGTAAAAGGAACTAGCTTAACAGTTGAACATACTACAAATTCAGGGAAGGGAATGAAGGTCATTTTATAAAATTCTTTTCTATAATAAATATATATACTTACGTTTAAATATCTCTTCAAAAAGATGCCAGGAAACAACAACTGCTGTTCTATGCGTTCTTCCTTAGAAGTATAAAATTATGAACTTTGATGCTGTGTTCCAGTCTCAAGCAAATAAGTGACTTGCTTGGCCAAAAAAATAGACAAACTTCACGATTTATGCTTTTCCTGCCTTTGTATCTTAATCATCTTCTGTTCTAAAAAGTGCTACCACGTTTACCCACATCTTTAATCAGATTTTTTTGAACTAAAACACATTAAAAAATTTAAGCCAAAACATTTAGCAAGATGCCTTAAACAATATGTCAGACAGTGAAATACTCTGTTTTCAACATACTGGCCAATATTTTTAAAAATTGCTATTCATGCAGTATTTTGATGAGGCACAATTCAAATATACATTAAAGCTAGAAGTTTCTGAAGTTTTCTGAATTATCCTGAAAATATACCAAGTACGGTTTCATTTATTTGTGAAAATGTCCTTACAGTTTCATCCTCATTTGTGATATATTTCATAGGCTATGGATATTTCCACTTCTTTGGTACTGTAAGTTGTTTTTTATAAAAAACAACAAAAATTATTTGTTTATAAATTTAGACTGTAACACTTAACTATCTGTCTAGAAATACTGGCATCCATCACCATGTGCCATTAAACATTAAAATATCCTTATATGAAGCTACTAGCACTCCATTCAAAAGTGAGCGTTATTTTTCTAGTGTAACCAATTTATTCTTTTAAACCAAAATAGAAGTTCTTAGTCACTATACCCCGTCCTATGAAAGACTCTTAAATACTAAATTAGGTGGCTCTCCCAGGTACAACAACCCTTGACTCATCATCCAAAATTATTCAGTAATATTTACTAGCGTGGAATGCCGGATGAAAACAATTTGAAAAGAAAAATGTAAAGAACCACCACCTACATCTGTATGGGAATTAATCATACTTTTAGGTTTACTGACTTCCTCATGTCGACCAAAGCCATATCCTCTTTACTTCTCTAAGAAAACACTTCTGCTTATCTCAGCACTTTCATCCCTATGTGAGCTTAATTAGTTTCTTCATCTGCAAAATAAAGAGTTGTGACAATCAAATAATGCTTTAAACCTCCATGAGGAGAAGAAATATTATTTTTAGCTAGGTGTTCCAAAGTCTCATTTTAAAGATAATAACCCAAATACAGCTTAAGTACTGGCCGTAGCAGAGAAAAGTTCAGCTCCAAAATAAACTGAGGTTACTTTTTTAAGTATGAAAAATAATTTTGTAGAACAAAATGTGAAATCAGCTGGCCAGGCACAGTGGCTCACGCCTGTAATCCCAGCACTTTGGGAGGCCAAGGCGGGTGGTTCACAAGGTCAGGAGTTACAGACAAGCCTGGCCAACAAAGTGAAACCCCGTCTCTACTAAAAATACAAAAATTAGCCAGGTGTGGTGGCACGTGCCTGTAGTCCCAGCTACTCGGGAGGCTGAGGCAGGAGAATCGCTTGAAACCCTTGAACCCAGGAGGTGGAGGTTGCAGGGAGCTCAGACCATGCCATTGCACTCCAGCCTGGGTGACGGAGTGAGACTCCATCTCAAAAACAAACAAACAAAAGAACAAAATTTGAAATCATCATCACTAAATAACCACTAATACCATACATCCGAAATACTTTTATCCAACTGTTTTCTTTATATTTTCTTTAAATAATTTATTTCCCTCCACATTTATAAAACAATCATATATCCCTAAATAAACATAAGGTTCCAAGAAACAACCTTCTATCTGTGACCATTCTCTCAAACAGCCTCTACAGCTTGGTATTCTTATTCTATGATAGTCAGAGCATTATATAAATACTCCAATTGTAATAGCTACAGAGCTCTAGACTTGCACATAACACCTAATAAAAATACTAACAGCTACTACTGAATTCATTCAAGACATTCTAAATATATTATCTCATTTTGTTTTCACAAGATCCTTGAATAGCAAGTATTGTTTCCTTCTTTCAAAAGATGAAGAAATTCACATTTAAATAGTTTAAGTGACTATGAGTAAATTCACTCATCTAAGTTAAGTGATATTTAAATCTGGTCTTTGTAACTTCAAAGACATTCTGCCTTTAATATTTCAATCACCTTAATATGTATACTTGCCTGTACTACTAAGATTTAGCAAATGGCTCTGAAAGAATCAGAAGTAACATATCATTAATAAAGCATAGACCTGCAAGTTTGCTTGTGTATAAAAGTTGGTATAAGCTTGCTTTTCCCAGTCACTCATTAATATCCTGACCACTGACAAACCATACCCTCTCACTTTAATAACAAACACCTTCTACTTAAAAAATGGCATACTGCTCGCCTCCAAACTTGGTAGGGATATTAGGATTGACTATGAAACTGTAAATACATGGACATAATCCTACACACAAATATGGATATATTCACGGCCACCTATATAAAAGAAATAAATACATGAGACAAAGGAAAAGTCAAGGTGGCTGATGATTTTCTATGCCTTTTCAGCAAACACGGATTAGAGTCACTTGAGTAAAAACTGACGGTGAGAGAGAAAGTTTTTTCTAGATAGACCTGACCTCTATTTCTTTATGAAAAGCAGAAAATAACAGATAACCTTCCTTTAATTCTTTCAGAAAGACATTACTCTGGACACGAAGCTCTGTCAGTACGTTGGCCTTTCAACCATGCTTTGGGCAATTTCTGCTTGATAATTATGCAACAAAACCTTAAATGTTTTAGGAAGGCATGAGTTCCAAAAGTCAACATAAGCACTTTTTAATTCTCCACACATATTTTTTTTTGAAATGTTAAGTCCACATTGGGCGGAAAAAAGAAAAAAGGAGAAAAGTCAGAGCTTCTCTTTTTTGTTTTCTAGTTATTCCATTCATATTGATTGGTTCTGAAATGTTACAAAAATTTTTGGTGTTCTAGAAAATAAGTAATATGGAAAATTTTTACCTAAGGTCACTGTTTCTTCTCAATTATTTAAGGTGAAAGTAATAAACCAGACATTTAAGTAAACATGCTCACTTCCATCTAAATATAAATGTTATCACAGCATTTGAAAACATTCCAGATATATCAAATCTCTAACACCTAATGTCAAGAATGTATCAGAAGGAAATATACAACCAACTCATTAATGCTTGATAAAAATGCACGCTTGTCATTTATAGAATCCATGACAACCATGAGAAAAAGAGTATGTACTGATCAAAAAGGCCAGGTTACTATATAACTTTGTTTCACAACTAACGACATTTAAGTTCAAAGTATTATGGAATTACTTACAAAATAAACTGGGTACTCTCTACCTCACCCCTAGTGGTAGGCTATGAAACAAATCGATTCAGTTTAAAATAGTTTATGTGCCGACTAGTGTTAAAACGTTCATGTATGCATTAAGATCACACCAAATCACCTGACTGATTCCTTCATCAAAAGCTCCTCTTGGCAGTTAGCAGTACACACCTAACATTAGCCAAACAGGTTATCTACCATCAACACGGAGAAATAAGAAACTTTGTATTGCCATTTAAAGAAGTTGCTTTCTAAAACTAGACATGAATAAGGGAGAGAAGAGGAAGTATTAAACCCCTAAACTAATTAACGAAATAAGGGAGGGGGGATGCAGGAAAACAATGATAATTAGTATGTACCCTTGGTTAACCAAATCCACACATACATTCATTCTGTATATGCACAAACATCAGCAGCATCATAAACCGTCTCAAGTTCTAGCCATTATTCAGTTCGACATCTGCACATGTTTATGCGTCTCTCCAAACAACCTCTTGAACACCCTGCTGGAGCTGTCATTTTTTTCTTCTCCCTATCTGGCAGATGGCAAGTCAACAATCGGCATCAACAGCAGCCGAATATCTCCCCCTCCATCCTACCCCCCTAAACAGACACAATAATAACTTCTTTGTGCTTCCCTACAATGCAGCTGCTTAAACCATTTCGCTACAAGGCTGCTTTGCCTTAATAAAAAAAAAAAAAAAAAAAAAAAAAAAATCCCTTCTGTCAAGTCTAAAAAGCAGCATAATGTTAAGCAAGCTAAAGCCACAGCACAGCTGCAAACGGGCAGACACATTGACAGCTCCTCCCTTAACAAAGCCCTGTGAATTGAAGGGGGTTCATCTGAGGCTCACACAGTAATTAGTATAAAAAAGTCCGACAGCCTCTATTATGCTAAGGGAAAAAAAAACTGGACAGAACTGGGCTGCTGTTTTGCGTCAAGAGTTCTGCTGCAGAGTAGATAAATCATGTTGGGTTTTTTCCTCTCTTTTTAAAGACAGTAATAAGGAGGATGAGAGAAGCTAATTTGAAAACTTGGACACAGTAATTGTACCATATGGTGAGCATTTATCCTTTCTGAAATGCACGCTAACAGTCACTTACATGCACACTGCTTTGTTTTACAGTTGTTATTCTCTCTACCATATTCATAAAATGGATTTGAATATCTGATACTCAAGATAAGTTGTGTGTAATTAGCAAGAGAACTGCCTAGGTTTAATTTATTGGCCTTGCACTGCAATCTAGTAAAATGCAAAACAAAATTAAACAATGTGTCCACTTTGTACAGATATTTTTTCTTTAACTCAACAAAACACTAATGAATACAAGTTCATTGGAGTGTTTCTAAGTTAAGGCACAGTGTATTTTGAAAATTCCAACAGAATAAACTATAGCTGTTGATAAGATTTCTGATATGTCACCATAAGAATAATTTTTCAGAAAGATCACCTGGTTTAATTTTGTATTTCACTGAAGCAGATGTAACTCTTCCTCATATACATCAGTAAACCTAGATGCAAGAGAAATTTCCTTGCATATGTCCTAAAAATTTTAGGAAAAGAAATTCTGTCATTTATTAAATAGTTATTAAGTACTCTGTGCCAAGCACCTATCTGGCACGGGGAGGAGAATATAGAAAAGCTTTCACATTTTTTTTAAATCTAAACATAAATTGACTTATTTTGTCTACTTCAAAATTCTATAAAAATCTACTATTTGAAGAAAGACTTTAATAACACTAATAGTACACTGGTTATCATGGCACAATATATATCAAAATATATAGGGAACAAGATTAGTTTAATCAGAAGTAAATTCACTGTAATGACATCTGTGTGACCCTTTTAGGTAAAATATTCTGTGTTTACTCAATATAAACTATGTTCTAAAACTGACATACTCAACTAGAACTCATATGAATCCTTTAAATTTCAAGTGGAGTAAAATCACTGGTTTGAATTTCTACAGCATCCATTTGACCACAAGTATCCTTCTGATCAATATTTTGGGGACATGAAGAAGCAGAATATTTTAAGGTATTGTTAGTTCAAGACAGAACTAAGAGTCCCTACTAAAGCTTGAAGTAATCTGTCTTTAGAAGAAAGACTGTGACTCCACCCAGGAAATTGGGCATAATTACATTAAGAAGGAATGGCTTCATCCAGAAAGTACCACTAATAATTTTCTACAATAAATCTCCATTTTGGCTTAACAGAAATAAACTTGGTCACCCACTACTAGTATAGTGGCTTCCCTTTATGCTACTGGTATTGGGCCATATGACCAATTTACACCTTGGATAAAAATATTCACTTTTGTATACTGCTTTACAGTTTACCAAATATTTTTAAATATTAACATGGGTCTTAAAAGTTCATTATACTGGGCCGACTTTGGTTTCGACATAGACAGATGTTTTGATTGAGAAATATGTGACCAACAACAGAAGTCTGATTCTGCATACTTTCAAACTGGGTGAATCCTACTGTATTAACAATGTCATGATACTATCTGGTGTTAAACAAAAAATGGGATCATTCTCTACAAAGTGGAGAGAGATCATTCTTTTTCTAAAAATCTGCAGAAAAACATTACATAATAACTCTTCTTGTTAAATAAACGAGGGAAAGAAAAAAAGTATTTTTAGAAGAGAAACTTTTCATTATTTTGAAAACAGGTTCAAAGGTGTTACCAAATGACTTATCTTTTTATCACATATGAATAAAAAGCCATTCTTAGTGGAGAAAAAAAAATTGTTTCCATTTAGGAAAATCAAGTTGAGGATATGTGTGTACACTGAATACTCCATTTAGTGATAATACTTAGGGTAAATGGGATGTGAATATAAGATCTGAAAATTTAACAGAATAATGATGGCTTTGTCCAGGAAAGGTGTTGTTACACCATTTGATCAAAAGTTTTTCTTAGTTAAGTCTGTCAACAATTTCTGAACTACCTGAAACCATTTTGATTATATCAATGACAACACTGCAGAAAAATTTGTCTGTAAGGAAAAATTAAGACTGTTTTAAAAGCTTCTAATAAGAAATATTTGCCAAGAATACATGATTTTTAAGAAGAATTCTTCTTCATATAATCACAATTCTGATATCCTTTACCTAAAGGGGAATAGGGATAATTAAATTAGAACAAAGCTGTAAGAAAATGTTCATAAATAAGAATTACAGAACCAAATGATCCTAGTGGGTCTGGTAAACATTCTCATTTTTATTTACCTACGTTGCATCTTTTAAGAGCTCATATCTGCCACAAAAGTAACAAGTTGCTGTTTTCTTATTAAATGTGAATAATTTCTCATAAGATCTAGCAGGTACCAAATACAATTTAATTTATAATGTATGGGGTATTATTAAATACTTGCAAATATTAAGTCAAAGACTGACATACCACTAAGAAAATAATGCAGTGGTCTATTGATACACTAACAATGATGGCAAAACCTAATCCAAGACTTTGGGATGCAAAAAACCTAACATATGGATATGGACTTCCTCAGCAGAAATTCGAGTAATGCATAGTTTAAAACAAACTCTTCATTTCTATAATAAACACAAATCAAGCAATGAGAATACCTAACATAGAATTTTAAATTCAGAAAGACAAGAAATTAAAAAGGATTACTTCATATTTTATAATGATGTTGTGGAAAAAAGAACGAAAAGAGGAGAGGTCATGTCTAGAATAGTATTCAGAAGCAGGCCTCAGCCAAATATTTACCCCTGATACTTGTCTTTAACCTTAGTGCTCTATTAGAACTCTTTCAGTTACAAGGAACAAAGATCCACTGAAGCTAACACAAGTAAAAATGGGTCATTCTAATAATACTAACACTTCATCCAAAGAATACAGGTAGCCCTTTTGCAAGTAAGATCTGGAAGGTGATTAAATCACTTTCTTTTATCTTCTTCAGGGATTGTGTCAAGTCTGGCTTCTGTCCCTGGTCTCTCTCCCATTCCCCTCCCAGGCCTGGATGGATCTCAGTCTGTCTGCTCCATCTTCCACACTCTACCCACCAGCTCCTTAGCTCACTCAGAAGTTTTTTTCCTTCATAAACTCAGCTTGCTGCTACCTCTTCCAGGCAATGCTACCCATGACACATAATACATTAAAGAATGTGGTTTAGTGTTACTTTAGAAATGTTTAAGTAACTTCCATATAATTTCAATTTGTATTAAAGTCTTTTAGTATACTAGGTAATCGAAATGTCTTCCCAAGAGTCATACCCAGTGGCTTTTAAATTGTGGGTCAAGATTTTTAATTTTCAAGGACTAGGTAGTATCAAAAATACTGGAAGCACTGGCAGACTCCACCTGATAAACAGGCTGGGTTCCAATGGTCATTGTCAGAGATTTAAAATTTAGTTTATCATTTTAAAAAATTATTAATACAAATGGTAACTAGTTCCCACATGTCATTAGTTAAAAAAGCACTGTATAACTACTACTTGCTACTTTAATATTTGCTTTCATTCTCCTTACTTCATATGAGAGACAAGTCAGATATTAATATTACCATCAGTATTCTATGCTCAAGAGTTTCAAAGCTATAAGCACCTGATTAAAGAATGAGACACTGAGCACCCTATCATTGGACGGCCACATATCAAAGATGTTATAAAAGAAATTTGAGTTCTGAGTTAAAGGTGGTATCAAACTGCCCCATAGGTTACTTTTAACACCAAGATTCTAGTATATTGGTGATTTTACAGATTAGGAAACCAAGATTTCAAGTTAAGACACATGTTATTGAACTAGTTCTTTTGACTTCAAGTCCAGCTAATTTCGATCATAAAACATACATTGTACATTATACTTGTAAGAAATCCTGGAATCTCAAATTCCTTTTAACAGTACTTTTATTTTTAAAATAAATTATAAGTTAGAATCCAGTTATGCTGAATATGCAACATTTCTATGATTACACCCATTAAAGTATGCAAATAAGAGTAAGGTCAAAGAAGAGAGCTACATTCATTTTACATTGGATGCTATGCATAAGAAAACAGAGGACCTTTCCTTTTCAAGTAGAGTAGCAATTGCTCCTAAAACACCACCCAAGGCTCAGCTGAGGTGGTCTCTTACCATTTGTTTAGAAGGGAATCTGATCTGTAGCTGAAGCAATTATGAACAGGAGGTAAGAAAATCCCCATGTCTTATAACCATTTCCAACATACACACAACTGGGGACATGGATGTCCACAAGCCAACGATTGTATGCATTCTCTGTATCGTTACTTACATAGGAGATGAAAATTGGAAACATCAAGTGAGTCATGTAGTGTATTTTTAATTTATAATTATTAAATCTTCACTTTAAAGTTTTTTTTAAAAAAAAGCTATCTAAAGCCACAAACATTTTACCTATCTACTGTTTTGTTTTGTTTTTTTTCAGACAGTCTCTCTCTGTCGCCAAGGCTGGAGTGCAGTGGCATGATCTTGGCTCACTGCGATCTCTGCCTCCTGGATTCAAGTGATTCTCCTGCCTCAGCCTCCCGAGGCTGCTACCCTTACAGCTGGGATTACAGGCCCTCACCACCACGCCTGGATAATTTTCTTTTTTGTATTTTTTTTTTCAGTAGAGACGGGGTTTCACCGTGTTAGCCAGGATGGTCTCGATCTCCTGACCTCGTGATCTGCCCGCCTCGGCCTCCCAAAGTGCTGGGATTACAGGCATGAGCCACCGCACCCAGCCTCAGCTTCAATTATGAAGAGTAAATGCTAGCAAAATGAATTGATGAATTTTTTCTTTTTAAATATTCTATCCAATATTTTGCATGTCCAAAACACAAGGTAAATTTCACCTATATTTAGGTGTTGTAGAAGTCCAACAAACTGGATTTCATATATGCACAAAACAAGCCATAATCCAATTATTTTCATGGGATAAGTCATTCCCTAAGGGGATAATTCCCTTAGGGATAATTCCCCTAAGGGAATGACTCATTAGGGAAATTATTCAAGTAATGAATCTAACTCCCAGCAAACAAGATATATAAGGTATGCAGTTCTATTCATTTAAACATTCCACCTTTTTCTGAGTATCACATATGTCAAGACAGTCATTGCAAAAACATTTGCAAGCTGCATGTGGAATGTGGCAAAATTCCTTTTTAAAAAAACCGATAGTGTTTAAATCCTATCCCAACTCTCAGAGACTTTTCTTATTTCATAATGCCCCCCTACTCCTACAACTCCCAAAATTACTCTAATTTATTCACATAACTCTCTGCTAACTTTAAGTTTTTTGTATCAATTCCCTAACAAAACATTCCAAATTGTTCTATCTTTTATTCATCTCATCGAGTTCCACACCAAGTCTTCCTCCAACTGGAGTCACACCCCAATTTCTCACTCCTCAGTTCAACTTTAGTTTTCCTGACTACCAATTCCAATTGCTAAGAAATGAGAAGTATATTTTGAGTAAACTAAATTACATACTCAAATCACTGTTGAGTGTATCAGTGAAGGTAATGCTGGCTGCTGAGAGAGGTAAATCATGACAACTTAGTGCTTTACTACAATGAAAGTTTTGTTTCTGGCTCATGTAAGGTCAAAACAATGTTTCCTTTCAATGGCAGTGACTGAAGGACCTAGAATCCTCCCTTTTAGAGGCTCTTCCATCTCCTTGGTTTCATGACTGCCATCAGAAGGGAAGAGAGAAAGAACACTGAACACAGATGTTCATGACCCAAGCCTAGAGGAGGCATGCGTTAATTCTGCTCACATGTGAGTGGCCAGAACTCAGTCGTATGGCCACACCTAACTCCAAGACAGCTGCAAAAAACAGTCTAGATTGGTGCTAGGGCAGAGTAGGTGTATTACGCGCAAACGGATTTGGCCAATCTCTGCTACACTGAACATCTCTTGTATGTTCTTAAATACTTACTTAATAACCTTGGTGTTAAGAGAGAGACATAAGAAATGAAAGCAACTGTATATCTAAAAATGGTGGCCGGGCGCGGTGCCTCACACCTGTAATCCCAGCACTCTGGAAGGCTGTGGTGGGCAGATCACCTGAGATCAGGAGGTCAAGACCAGCCTGACCCCATCTCTACTAAAAATACAAAATTGCCCGGAGAATGGTGGCACATGCCTGTAATCCCAGCAACTCGGGAGGCTGAGGCAGGAGAATCACTTGAACCCAGGAGGTGAGGGTGCAGTGAGCCAAGACCGTGCCATTGCACTCCAGCCTGGGCAACAAGAACAAAACTCAAACTCAAAAAAAATTAAAAATAAAATAAAAATAAAAATGGTTAAAAATGGTTAAAATGGTAAATTTCATGTTACATATATTTTTGCCAAAATAAAAAGGATCTTAAAATCTTTTTGATGAGACCAAAAGACATAGTAAAAAAAAAAAAAAAAAAAAAAGTTCTAAATCAAACATGAGCAAATGTCAAAATATAATTAAAAGCTAAGTATAATATAATCTTCATGTGTTTTATCAATACTACATAGAGTTCTATGATTTTTATCATAAATAGGATCTCAGCCTGACTTGGCCTGTCTGCTCTGGTCTAAAAGATGTGAGGAGAAAAAAAGAGACTTGTTAATATCATAATATTATCTTAAACCAGTAATTCGAATAAAGAGATCTCCTCAAATATTAGTATCTTAAAATTATAAAGTAGATAAATATTAAGGGTTAATACAATTTGGAGCCAATCAAAATGCAATAATCTCTTGTCCTTTTCCTTTTATTTTTTACGTATTCCCAGATGGTCCAACTATTCCGAAAAGCTCACGGTATATACTCTTGAGAAAATAAGCATGTAAAGCATTCTTTTAAAGTACTTGCCACACCATATTCTACTGGCAAATAGGGCTAATGCTGGAGCTCAGAAAACAATACTCCAAAATATGGCACTTCAGCACACAAAGTACTTTGCACTGGAAGGTATCAGAAGCAGCCTCAGAACCTGGATCTCTCTCATCTTCTCCTGCCCTCCTGTCTCTTGCCCCTCATTCTCCCCCAAAGCAAGTACAGACACCAGAATTCCTCCTCACCAAAGCAGATAATAAAGACTAGATCTCTCTTCTCCAAAGCCAGCCATAAAAACTACAATTACTACTCTAACCTTCCCCTCACCTTTCTGTCTAGGAACTGGCCTAGACAGAAATTCTGTCTAGAAATTCTCTGACCTACCCTTGTCCCAATAATATAGGTCATAAGACCCTCATCAGAGGGGTCCTGTCCCATACCTGGGAGGAAGAAACATTACAAGAGAGAGGCCAAGAAGAATCTGAACAGACAGGTCTTGGTGAGTTTTTATATGCAGTCTATTAATATTAGATCATAACCTTTTTGTCCAGTCCTATTTCTACATAGCTGTCCATTTTTCACTGAACCTAAGCACTGAAAAATGGATAGTTGTCCCATATGTTTGGGGTCTTCACTCTGAAGGCTCCTGTGTCATGTAAAACTATAATTAAACAGATTTGTTATGCTTTTCTCTTATTACTCTGTATTTTGTTATAGGAGTGTTGGCCATAACCCTTATGATGGGGAGGAAAGGGATCATTCCCTTTCCACTACTATACTACCAAATATAAACTAGTAGTACCCTTATAATTCTTATATTTTCTTACTATTTTTTACATAATGGAGAGAAAAAGGAGTTAATAACCCTGGGAAATTTACTATGCCAATGTAATCCTACCTACTTTTAGAAGGTATCAAAATATTTGTAGAATTAAAAGAATGCCACTGCTAAAAGGAAACAAATTTGTGTAGTATTAGATAACACTCCTGTTGCTTCCAGGCAAGGCACATCAGAGGTGAGATTACCCTACAGATAACTTTTTTAAGAAAAGATATAAGTAACCTAGGTATTATAATTTTCTAGATAACTTTTAAGTAACATAGACGTTATAATAATTTTCAACTTTTATAGCAGATTTAAATTTCTACATATTATATAACAAAATCTCTAAAGGAGCCAAGCATAAGACATTCCAAATAATTTCCAAACACATTTTGGCTATGAATACATTTCAGTTTTACAGTCATTAAAATTTACACAGCTTAGCAGGTCACAGCAGGTGTTACGTTATTCTCACGAACAAAAGTTTAACATTAAGAACAATTCATATATTTTGACACATCTGCTATATATATTCGTGTTGCAAGGACTAGACTGCGAGCTTAAGGTTTTATTATATTATGCTTACATTTGAACTGGTTATCATAAAAAAGAAACATTATACTATAAAACTTCAGAGAAAAAGATATACATTAAAATAGCAACAACCTAAATTTACTCTATAATATAAAGTTCCATCAAAGCAGCTCCATCTAAATGTTAACATGTCTAAATATTCTGTGCATGCTTCTGAGTACATGCATATGAATAAAATGCTAAGGGGAAAACAACATAATTGCCAAAATTTGTTTTATAAAAGGCATTTCCCCCATCACATAACTTCACCATTTCTAGTAATCATCACACCCCCAGACCAAAGCACGAAGTTAAAGAAGGCCCTTATAATACACATAAAAAGTCAACAACTTCCTTCAGACTAAGAAGAACAAATTCTAAACTAGAGAACCCTGGATGAGAATGACCTGCCCAATCCCCACTGAAAAAGATGGAAAATTTTTTCCTAAATGGAGAGAATCACATAATGATTCATGTCTTCAATAAAACATCAACTAACTCAGAAAAAGAAATACCATGGCAAATTATACCTCAAATATTATATTAGACATGAGCAATGTAAAAACAACTATCACCGTAAGAACCCTGTCTAGGAAGCAATTAATCTTTCTCAAGAAATGCAGTAAGTCTGGGCACCCATTTTCAAAATTATCAAGGCCACTTTTCATTTAAACATTAACATTTATTATTTTCATTTAAAATGTTCAATGTGAAATTGTTAATATGTTAATATGTGTTTTAATACATTAGTTTACAAGTAATAATAAGGTCTGAAAAACAATTTATAAAAATGACTATATGCTGTTATGCTCAAAATAAATCATAAACATTTTTCCCAGCTCACACCAGGCCCTTTATCTGAGGGATTATTACAAAGCAACTAAAAACTCAATCACAATATAACGAAAATAATGTTAGCTGGCATAGGAGAGTGTTTTGAAGTGCTTTCTGAATACCTCAGTCTCACACTCAAATCAGGAGCATCTGTCCACCAACTGTCAAGATAACGTCTAGCCTAGGAGTTTTCCTGAATTCATCACTATTCATAGATGCCTGTCACTATTCAGAAAAAGAAGAAAGAAAGAGCCATACTTTCAAAGCTATTTTCTTTTTCTATATGTCCTAGTAGAGGTGAATATAGAATTTATCACTTTGAAGCCAATGTAGTCTGAATCAACCGGTCCTCCATCTCCAGATCTAAGAATGCAAGTTAAATGTTCTCTAGAAATTATAGATAATTCACTATGTCATATTAATACTTCTCACTTATATTACTACTGATTGAAGGATCTGATCCCTAGACTCAAAGCCATTACCTCACCATTACTTTCACAACTAGAAAGTACAATCCAGCCACCAACCCCTATGGAAAATGGCACAATCAAGAGTAAAGTGTTTCCACTGACGCCAAGCACTGTGATTCATGCATGTAATCTCAGCACTTTGGGAGGCCAAGGTGGGAGGGCTTGAGGACATCATATGAGTTTGAGACTTGGGTAGAGATCCTGTCTCTACAAAAAATACAAAAAAAAATTAGCCAAGCATAGTGGAACCTGCCAGCAGTTCCAGCTACTTGGGAGTCTGAGGTGGAAGATCACTTGAGCACAGGAAGTGGAGGATACAGTGAGCCATAATGCACCAGTGCACTCCAGCCTGAGAGACAGAGTAATATCTGTCTGGGGAAAAAAAGGTGTTTTCATTGGCTTCGTTTTAGATGCTGCTGCAAAATTCAAGTTAAAGCTGTCTCTCTCAAGAAACTTCATTTAAAATGCATTCCTATGAAATTTATATCCTTATTTTCCGAGTCAGAAACAACAAATTTCATTTTATAACAAACATAAATAATCCTCAAAGTATTCAGAAATGCTTTTCTGAGCCACTGTAACAATGCTGTGTGATACAGGAGAGGAAAACAAGACTGTCATCCCTGCAGTCCTCAAAAGAAAAAGTTAACACCAAACAAACAAGATAATACAAGGTAGGCCAAAATCTAGAAAAATTGAGGGGAAAAAAAAAAAAAAGAATCCAGAAAAAGGTAAAACTACCCGTTACTGAGTATGCAGTTGTACCATTTTCTACTTTACATACTAACTAGTTCAGTCAGTAATATCTCTATTTTTAGTTCCTTAAACCTACATACATTAGAGAACTATTAGGTGAGCAAATCAGTAATCAAGACCAAAAACAGAGAATCAATAAGGAATTTAGTTTTCAAAAGCATATTTTTTTCAAATGCAAAAGTAAGGAATTTTTTCCTACATTATAAGACTTATGGTATCTTAATGTTTATTTATTTCCATAATAATTTAAGGGAATGAATCTTCAGTTTTTGTGTAAATATGACTTACCATGGCACTTAATACAAATGCATCCATCTTCTGGGATCCAGACCCACAAGTTCTAATTTCATTTTCTGGAAAACTACACTTTTACCAAGGATTAAGGGGGTTCTAATACAGGTGGACTATTGCCCTCCCTTTAAGAAATACTAATTTAAGAGCTCAGTATCTCCTGGGAGAAAAAACTGAATTTTAAACTAAAATCATTCTTAAATCATTCAGATCTCTGGCCAACAAAATACTTTCCAGTTTCTGAGGGAAAAAAGATGAAGAAAAGGCAACTATTGTTATAAAATATCCTACAATATAGAAGAAAAATCAGGTACACAAGAAACAAAAGTAGGGTTGGGCACAGTGGCTCACACCTATAATCCCAGAACTTTGGGAGGCTGAGGTAGGAGGATCACTTGAGGCCAGGAGTCCAGGACCAGCCTCGGCAACATAGCAAGACCTTGTCTAGACCAAAAAAAAAAAAAAATTAAATTAGCCTGGCATGATGATGCATGCCCGTAGTTCTAGCTACTCGGGAGGTTAGCTTGAGCCCAGGAGTTTGAGGATGCAGTGAGCTATGATAAGGCCACTGCATTCCAGCCTCAGAGACAGAGCGAGCCTTGTCTTTAAAGAAAAAAAAAAAGAGAAAAAGAAATGAAACTGCAATAAGGGCAGTAAGAAAAGTTCTGGAAAGTGTTGACAGTTTCAGAAGGAAGAGTTTACTTTCAAATGGTGACAAGGGAAGACAAGATACAAGAGGTGAAACTTGAGCTATAACTTGAAGGGTTGATGAGTAGGACTTCACCAGTGACTAGAGTGAGTGAAGTATTCCATGGGGGCACTGTGCTATCTGCAAAGATGCAGGAAAAAAAATTATAACACCACTCTCCAGGAATATGTGACCAATCTAGCAGAATAACAGAACAGAACTCAGCCTTTTTTGTGTCTCTACTTCAGAGACAAGAATAATATACTCCAGCAGTAACACTGCTCACTGCATACGGAGATTTGCAAGGGTTAAGGGTCGGGGGCATAACCACAGAAATAAGGTCCTTGTGACAACTAAATAAGATAAAATATTATATTTAAGATCATTACATTCCTTTTGAAGGTCACTTTGACTACTTCAATATACAGTTCAAATATATTTAATTCTTCCAAAATACCATTGCCAAAAAAAATTAGTGAAAAGTGGTAACTGGCTTATATAATTTCGACGATTTAATGAAAACAATACATATGCCACATATACATGGCTAAAAGATGTCACAGTTGATTCAAAATGGATAAGCAATATATATGTTGTTACAATTTTCAAAGTAATAGCTAAAAAGTACACACAGAAAGGTGTTTATACACATTCACTCATCTATCTGGCACTTCGTAGAAGACTAGGAAAGCTACTGGCCTTTTTAAAAGGTTAGTTCTCATAAAGGCCTAGTGCAGGCAGCTCTGGAATTTCATGCCTCCAACATTAATGTCTGGAATTTCATACCTCCAACATTAATGTCTAGTATGCTGGTGGGTGCTACTCATCTTTTCAAATCTGTTTTAATTATTCTGTTGCTGGGCATTTTAACAGATCTTAAGTTTGATAAATTTAGAATTCCAACTGGAGGTTAACCCACGCCCCAATATGTAAGCCAAATCCATTTCAATTATTTACGAAAGGCAGATAATATCAGAACAAGACTGATTATTTAGGTATTAAAGGATGTATAAGTAAATTCCAGTGGTGAAATCTGGAAAAATTATCTGGATGAAGAGTCAGGTGTTTTTTAACGTGTGGGAAAAAGTTGTGGGGTTAATATTATTTGATCTGCTTACTAAATATAAAAATATTTTACACCTATAAAGTGAACTCAATTAATGCAGGGAACAATCTAAAATATGGCAAATATTTAATATGGTTGTTTGGTAATATTTAAGTTCAGTTTCTATAACTTACAACAGGTAAATTCTCAAAAGAAGTTGTCAATTTTCTGAAAATCTCAGTCTGTGGTTGCTCAACTTAGCAACCAATATTCTCTTTTTCAACCCAAAAGAAAGTTAACATTTATCTATGAACAAGCACTCAGTCCCACAGCCATGAGAGTTGTCAAAATAACAGGAAGAAAAATGGACCAAGGATATATAAAGCTGAAAATGGGTCAGAATGCTCAAATTAAGAATCAAACTTATGTTTTTATTTTTCTTGCTTTTTCTTGCAAGCCAGGGCATCCTCATGAAAAAACAGGTAAGAATTTGGCAAGAATAGGGATAGAAAGCAAAAAGAAACTTGTTTTCCCAAACATCTGGCATCCTTCAACAAACTCTGGCAATGAAAAGTCAAAGCAAAGCAGATAAGATTCTGCCAATCACCTTCTACTTAGGCAGTGGCAATAGGTGGCCTAGCCAAGGCTCCCTGCCTGAGCTGAGAAGAGATGTCAGTATTGTGGTAAAGCCCACCTCCTTGGTCTTCAACAGATTCCTTCCATACCCCCAGGTTATGACAGAAAATGAGCAATTCACACAAGCATAAATGTGAAACATTAACATTTAAAAGGAGCCTAACCTACATAATAAGTGCTGAGGCTGAATACACATTGTGGGTCAAAATCAGGACAAGGCAGCTCAACATGGCATCTGTTAAGGGAAGAAAAATAAAGGGCAGACAAAAGACAACATTTAATCCTAGGTTCAACCTTCATAAATCAGCATACAATACCAAAAGTAAGTTAGTTGATTGATTGATTGATTGATTGAGACAGGGTCTTGCTCTGTTGCCCAGGCTGGAGTGCGATGGTACAATCTCAGCTCAACACAGCCTTGACCTCCTGACTCAAGCAATCCTCCCAAGTAGCTGGGACTTCAGGCATGCACTACCATGCGTGGCTAATTTTGTTCACTTTTTGTGGAGATAGGGTCTTGCTATGTTGCCCAGGAAGGTCTAGAACTCTTGGCCTCAAATGATCCTCCCACCTCAGCCTCCCAAATTGCCAGGATTACAGGTGTCAGCCACTGCTCCCAGCCCCAAAAGTTTATTATTATAAGGACTCTTACTCTTCATTGTAATTTATAGGCTGAAATTGCAAAACTGAAAACCCTATTCTTGCAACAATAACTTGAGGTATTTAGAACTCATGACACCAAGTTTCACATCCTCTTTCTTAAGTCTGCAGAAAAGGAACCTCCATCCTTATAGTTCAAAGTCTTTCTAGCAAAGAAAAAAAGAGAACCAAGAAAAAAAAGCATCATAACTATTTTGTAAGTATCAAACTAAAAAATTTGATATAATCTTAGTTTAAAAAAATAATTATAACACTGATTTGATATTTAGGCATAGAGGGATGTTGGTGTTTTATAAGAATTGACCTGACTATAAGCAGCACTCAGCTACATCTCTCAAAAATAAGGGAAAGCCATTTTAAGAGCTTGAAGTAGTATGTTGTAGTCCTATGACATTAATAGTTTAACAGAAACCACATACAACTTGAAGACTAAAACTATCAACTCCCTAAACAACTCACAGTGTACGTTAACATGACTTGACTATTCAGGGAGAGCCTCACCCTGGCAAACGGTTTGATTGTTCATCACAGCAAACTCCTGAAACACGCATCAACGATTCAATAGAAAGCCCCAACAGTATGTAAGATTTTTTGAATCCCTTGCTGTTGCATAATGGTCATCATCCAATTTTAATCAAACACACACACACACCCAGTATTCACTCAACCTCAACCAAACTTTGATTCTCAGTACATACTATCCTTGCTTTCTTCCCTCCAAGAAACCGCCAAAGTTCTAACCAGGTGGTGTACTCCCTTTCTGTGACAGGCAATAAACTCTATCTATAGGTTGTGAGGGAGACACTTGGGCAGCCAGCACTTGATACTATGCCAGCTGTAAGTTTTAATCATTCAGGAATATAGTGCAAAGAGTACTGTGAACTTATGGTGTGCTAATGCATCATACTAGCAATTGTGAATTTAGATCATAAACCTTTGTATTTCACCTAAAACTTTATGGGAACAGATAGGACAGGACAGGCAATCCCAATGCTTTTGTAGAAAAACTGTCTGGTCATATGCTGTCAGTTCTTCACGATTTCAAAGAATAACCACTTGAAAGAAAATTTTCAAAAATCTAAAGACTTAATAAAACTAAGATCAATGAGTTTTAAAGTACGTGTCATTAAAAGCACAAACTCATTTGCAGTCTATGGACTCTAAGGCAAGAGTCATATGCCAGACATCCCAGAAGAGGTAAAAAGTTATTAGAGACAAAAAGGACTTCAGGGAAACTTAGTTTTTCCTTAGGGAAAGGAGTCCTCCATGGAGTCACATGGCCCTCCAATAAGTAGGCATCAGGTAGTGTATCAAGAACTGATACAAGATCAGAAAGGAAGAGCCAATGAGTTAGGAGAAACCAAGGTTGGGTTTCAAGAATTGAGTTGCTACTTGTGCTGAATGATATTAAGAGATGGAGAAAAAGAAAGAGAAAAATGTTCACGCGGATGTCAATGATTTTTACTAGACTCTTCAGAGGAGTAAGAAATCCAAATAAACTAGAGTTTAGGGCAGAAAATTAACTACAAGGTGAGAATATGAAAGATGCCAGTGTGGACAAACCATGCAATAAAATTTTATTAAAAGAGAAGCAGAAATAGAGGCAGTAGCAGAATGGGAAGCAATATGTCAAGAGGGGGCTTTTCTTTTTAGGATGGAAGATACTATTGCACCTTTATATGCCGGTGTGAATGATAAAGCAGAGAGGGAGAGACTGGTAATACAAGAGAGGTAATGATTTGAGATTTTGAAAAGATTAAAAGGGTGGAATTCAAAATACTAGTGAAAATAAGAGCATATGCACTGAGTTTAAAGCATGAGAATATGGTGAGAACATAAATGGGTACAGCCTTTCCAGGAAAAAAATCAAGTACCTCATAGATTATAAAGAGACATGAAAGTAACCATATCCTTTGAGCCAGTAATTTCACTCATAAAAATCTACCTTAAAAAAAGATCTGAAATCTATCTTAACTGTCTAATGATCAGGGAGAACTGTTAGGTAAATAATTATAAAATGCTATTAAAAGTCCTTAATGATATGGGAAAACGTTCATAATATTAAGAGAAAAAAAGCAAGATATAAAATTCCAAATGTTGTATTTTAAAAATAAAAATATGTGCATAGACAAAAGATTAAGGAGACATAAAATATTAGTAATATCTCTGGACAATAAATGATAGATTACAGTGTTCTTCTTTATGTATATTTTTCATTTTCCCTAATAAGAATGGGTCACTTTATTACCAGAATAATTTACTTTCATCTTGCCTGTATTTTCCAAGTCTCTCTACTGACACCTTCCTAACAGCTTTAAATATTTGTGTATTTCAGAAATAAAATTGTGATAGTGGCAGGAGGCAGACAAATTCCTAGGCAGATTGGGACAGGTCCCCAGTGAAACCCAACCTTCAGGGCACACACAGCATGAAGCCTGAAAACCTGGCTGCTCCTTCTAGCTGGAATCCACAACCTGGAGGGAGAATTTCCTTTACGCCTTTCAGCCAATGAAATGGTGTTTTTTCCAGGTCCACCCATGGACCACTCAGCACGCACTTCCTCCTGCCCAGGGACCAATCAGCACACACTTCCTCCATTTTGAGCCCATAAAAACCCCAGCTTCAGCTGGACTCAAGGTAAGTAAGGACTACCCTTAGGAGCTGCCCGCTTTGGGTCTCCTCTCTGCTGAGCTGTTCTGCTACTCAGTAAAACTTCTCCACCTTGCTCACCTTCCAGTTGTCCACGTAACCTCATTCTTCCTGGACAAAGGACCAGAATTCGGGACCCACCCAACAGTGGGCATGAAAAGGGCTGCAACACTTTCCTGGCCAACTCACCAAACTGTGGTGGTGACATGCTCCCATTTGCTGGACTGCAGGAGTGAAAAGCAGTGACACTTCTGGGGGCCGAGACATCAGGATTTCCCAAGCCAGGGCTGTAACACTATAGCCTTCCTGCCTTCTGCCTGCATTGGGCAGCTGCCCCATGTGACAGGAAGTGGCAGTGGAGCTGGGCCAGCCTGGGAGCCGCCGGCTGGGGTGAGGTGGTGGGACTGAACAAGCTGAAACCTGCTCCCCCTGCTCGCCGAGCCGCGGGTGGAGAGAATGAGAGAGCACGCCTGACCCACTCCTTGAGGCTCTGCAGTTGCTGGCGTCCCCAAGTTTTTAGGTGCCACCGCATCCCCCTTTTCCAGACACCAGCACCTGCACCAGAAACTACGTGTGGTACGCCTGCTCCAGCTGCAGCCTGGCAAGGAGCCGGCACCTCTGCCAGCACCCAGAGCTGCCTGCCCCACCACAGCTGGCCGGACCCTGTGTTAGCTCTCTCACACACCCTTCAGTGCTCTGAGCCTGGTTTGCCCTCATCAGGCGTGGGATCCGGGTTGGGCGAACTGAGTGCAGCCTGCCGGGCTGAGTGGGTGGAACGAGCACAGTGGGAGTGAGTGAAACTCAAGCAGGGGCGCCACAGGCCACAATGGTTCCCGGCTGGCAGAGTGACACCTGAAGGATCCCGTGACATTTCGATTATTTCTGCTCATAGCATAAACTCTTATATGTAAGTATCTACCACATGCCAAAATGAAAGCAAAAAATATATATAATAGCCTGCTGTAGATATATATTATGTTGTTGTAGCAGCTCATGTTTTCTACCATCCATACGTTTAAGATAAATGGCATGCAATATCACCAATAATAAGGCAATAGAGAACAAAGAGTCTGCAAGAATTTAGAAAACACTTGCTTTGATATACAGCAAGAACTAAGGGGCAAGAAGAGGTAATGGGCAAGCTCTGAGTCACTCTTACTGGATGGTCTCAGTACAGCAACAGTAACTAGGATAAGCCAAGGCGTCCTCTACACACATAGTGAGGCCAGCTTGAAACAAGGAAGTACATAGTTGCAGACTTGGAAGCTAGCCACCGCAGCTATTTAAAAATCAATAGAGAGATTATTTTTTAAACCCTCTTTATCCAAAAAGAGTGTTCTGTGAAGAGAAATAGAAGGCACTAGAAGTGACGCACTGAAAGATCTCAGTTCATGGAATGATCACATTTGTAAACTAATAGTTTGTGCCTCTTTTTAGAGTCAAAAGTCAGTAAGCTCAAGTCAGTAAGCTCTGGGTTGGAATTCCAGCTCCTGTTTATTAGCTGTGCAACCATGGACCAATGTACTTCACTAACCCTCAGAATCTTCATTTATAATTTCAGGATTATGATATTGTACTTATAGAGCTTTGAAGAGGATAAAATGAAATAAAATGGGAAAACACTCAGTGAAATGCCTCATATGTAATTACCATGTAACGGTTTTTCCTTTCTTCCTAATTTCATTTACCACCTTCACAATTTGTGTCATATTCACATGCCATCTACATTATTTACTTAATATTGTTCCTCATATAGATTTACATATTTTTTCTAAATAAATTTCGCCTCATCTTAACAACACTACCCACTGAGAGGCTGAATATAAAATGGACAACAGTGAGATCATGTATAACCACAGAACTCTGAGCCACAACCTTTGCAACCAACGCAGGATGGCAAACCACAAGCTCTGCAGCCAAGAGCCCAGAACGGTCAGGACTTGGGCAATGACAACCAAGGACCAAACAGAAAAAGCTAAGATGTTCCCCAGACCAGTCACACAAGATACCCACACTTCCAGCTTTCCCATGCCAACAGCCTTCCAACCACAGCATACCTAAAGCTGCCTCTTTCTTCCATTAAAAAGCTTCTCCACTCCCTTGCTGAGCCTACCAAAGGGAAGAGATGGTGGCTGACTGGACGTTTCTCAATCTTTGGAATTACTAAATACAGCAAATGTGTTTTTAAATAATACCCTCAGACTCTAGGTAGTCTAGAAATTTACAACACTGCTTCTTAGTGATGACGGAGTTGTTATATAACACACTGGTTCATTTAAAAGAACAGGAAAAGAGTTTGTGTACTGATAATAAAAATTTAACTCATGTTGAGAAAAATAAGTAATAAATACCAATGAACAAACAACCAGCACTCTCAAGGACTATATGGTGACACATCTATTGTTATGTGCATTTGCCAATCAGTATTGTTATGGTTCTACAAAGAATCCAGTGCACCAGACTGCAGCTAATTATGTATATTCAAGTGATTAGCAAGCACTTGTTGCCTCTTTCACACCACCCTCCAAACAGCAGCCTTTGAGAGGAGAATAGACTGCAAATTTATTGAGAGAACACTGTTAATCCTTTGGGGAGAATGTAAATGTAAACAGGACTACTCTACATCAAGGTGCTTTGACAACAACAATCATCTGCATAAACACATGCTCAACAACAAACAGGTGTTCTATTTCACAACTAGCACCCATTTGATGCTTTCAAGTAAGCATTATGCACAAACTGTTAGAAGTACTTTGAAACCAGCTGCAATTACTATAATTAGCTGCTTTCCTATACTTTGTTTCCTTTTACCTGTTCAGTACTGTGCTATGCCAATTCATACACTCCAAGTAAAATGACCAGTTCAGGACTTTTACTGGTAAGGTATGAAAAGCACACAAACTAGACTCCATTTAAACTAAGTCAACTGGAACTTTCTCCAAATATCAAAAATACTAAAGGCAAAATTCAAATACTTCTATTTTAAAATTACATTAATGAGACAAAAGATAGCTCTCTTTCAAAGCTGTTTAAAGTTTTGACTCATAAGAGACCTCAATTATTGTAGTATTAACTGACTAGAAGAGGAAAAGGGGAAATATTCTAAAAGTCTATCAATTAAAGAATAAATAAAAAGTAGTGCTACATATTCAAATGGAATACTATACAGCAGCTAAAAGGCATAACCTACCAATAGCTTTAGCTACAGCTGTAACTACATTGCACACGGACAGAGCACAAAAACAATATTAAGTGAAAAAAGGAAAATTTCAGAATGCCAATAAGTATAAGCTAACAATCATAAACATATGTAGTGACCAAATCAAAATCTATATACAAGTTATATCTCAGAGACCTTTTGGGTTCAGTTACAGACCTCTACAATAAATATGGCAATAAAACAAGTTATATGAAATTCTGGTTTCCCAGCTCATATAAAAGTTATATTTACACTACACTATAGTCTATTAAATGTGCAATAGCATTATGTCTTTTAAAAAGTACGTATCTTAATTAAAAACATTATTGCTAAAAATGCTAATCAAGTGAGCATATGCTGTTGGAAAAAATGACACAGATAGACTTGCTCAACAGAGTTGCCACAAACCTTCAATTTGTACAAAATGCAATATGTGCAAAGTGCAATTAAACAAAGCACAATAAACTGAGGTACAACTGTAACCATTAGCCTAATTCTAAAACCAAAATTTTCAAATGTATTAATATAAATCTCAGAAAATCCAAAAGTCAAATATGGCATGAACTCTCAACAGAAAAAAATTAGCTAATTCTCTTAAATCCAATCCAATGATAAACACACTGTCAAGTCCATGAGGGCTGTGACTATTTCAGCACTGTGTACTGCTGTATCTCCTGTACCTCACTGGCACTTCCAGTAAGTAATATTTCATCAATAAAGTATTTATGAAGGAGTGAATCAATGTATGTATGAATGTGTAAATGAGTGCACAAATCAAAGTTCACAAATAAACTGAAACACTGAAGTATTGTTTAAAAATATACAGTGTGAACTATAAAAAGGAAAAAGAATACCAGGTCACATTACTCCATTACAGTCATGCATTGCTTAATGATGGGGATACATTCTGAGAAATGCATCATTAGGCAATTTCCTCACTGAGTGAACATCATAGAAACACCTAGTTTTTAGGCTACAAATCTGAACATGTTACTGTACTGAATACGCAGTTCTAACACAATGGTATCTGTGTATCTAGACAAATCTAAACATAGAGAAGGTACAGTAAAAATACAGTACACAGGGTAAAAAAAAAAGTGGCACACCTCTATAGGGCACTTACCACGAATGGGGCTTGTAGGACTAGAAGTGACTCTGGGTGAATCACTGGTGAGTGAATATGAAGGTCTAGTATATTACTGTAGACTACTGTGGACTTCATAAACACCGTACACTTAGGCTACAATAACAAAATATTTTTCTTTCTTCAATAATAAATTCAGCTTACTATAACTTTTTTACTTCATAAACTGTTTAATTTTGTAGCTTTTTGACTCTTGCAGTAACACAGCTTAAAGCACAAATACACTGTACAGCTGTACAAAAGTATTTTCTTTATATCCTTATTCCATAAGCTTTTTTCTACTTAAATTTTTTTTACCTTTTTTGTTAAAAACTTAGATATAAACATACATATTAGCCTAGACCTACACGGGGTCAGGATCATCAATATCATTGTCCTCCTCCACATCTTGTCCCAGTGGAGGGCTTTTGGGGGCAATAATGTGCATGGGGCTGCCATCTCCAATAACAACGCCTTCTTCTGTAACACCTCCTGAAGGACCTGCATGAGACTGTTTTACAGTTAACCTTTAAAAAAGAAAATAAAGCAGAGAGAGTACACTCTGAAATGACAACAGTATAATAAATACATAAACCAGTAACACGGTCATTTATTATCATTATCAAGTACTATGTACTGTATATAATTGTATGTGCTACACTTTTGTACAAAACTGGCAATGCAATAGGTTGGTTTACACCACCATCACCATAAAAACGTAATGCATTGTGCTATGATGTTACATCACTAGGCAATAAGAATTTTTTAGTTCCATTATAATCTTATGGGATCGCTGTCATATATGCAGTCCATCATTGACTGAAACATCATTCTGCACCACATGACTATTTTTCAACATGTTTCTAAAAATATCATCTAAGTATGATATTTGAAACTTTAACTGGCTACTCATACCAAAAGCAATTTGTAACATTACTTTATACCCAGAAAAATATTTCGTTGCGTTTCCTCTCATAACATTTTCCACCATTTTTATTAGAGACTACTGTAACATACCTAGCAACAAACGTTAGCATGAGTAGCCAGCTCTTACTATCAGTCATCACCAGTCATTCTCATAGTTGATATGAGTTGTCCAACTATTTCCATCTTTTTATTAGATAGCTGCAAAAGTGGGTGCATGCTCACCACAATCACCTGTGGGAAACAAATGTAAACCCAACTGATGGGTCAAACTGTAGAGGAGAGAAGCCAATGACAGGTATTTGAGACAATGCCATGGAAGAATAAATAGAATGGGAGAATGAATTTGAAGTTCAAAGTATGTATTTCAAATATTATTAAAAAGTAAAATTATTCTTCCTTGTGCTAGTGCTAAACACAAAATACATCCTAAATAAATATTAAGTACAGTGGTAAGTAATTTAGGGGGAGATGCATTTAGCTTTGGTTATATTTAGCCTAAACCATCTGCCACATACTTTTTTTAATCTGTAAAAATAAGAAAATGCAAGTGCTAGACAGAAAGCTTGAGATGGGGGTAAAAAGTATATGCTTTGTAGTCAAATACATGGATTCAAATCCTGGCTCTGCCACTTATTATCAGTGTAACCTGGATAACAATCCCTCTGAAACTCCCATTTCACTAGAAAACTGGATGATAATAATTTGGTAACACCTACCACAGAAAGTTGTTCTAAAGCTTAGGTTATTTTATATAAACCAATTAGCATAGTGCCTGGCACATACCATAGTGAGTAATCAATGTTAGAAATTACAATTACCAATCATTGTCTTAGTGATAAATCAACATTCAGATTCCAAAAACCTGGGGTCAAGAAAAACATAAAAGGCCTTAAATGGCTGTACTTGATGCCCACTGTTAATGGAATTTACTAGAAAGAAAGGAACTAAAGAAGGCTGAAGGAATCATAGTCCTGGAAGAAAATGAGAAGCAAGAATTAGAAAAAAGAATGGCCCTACCAATAAAGGTTTAAAAGTCAGAAAAATAACAGCTATAGAGGTATTTTGTTCTTAAAGCTATTTCAAAGGCAAACCAAAACAAGAATGAAGTGAATGGTATTATACAGCAATCTTAAAGAAATTAGGAGCCTTGCAAGTACTAAGTTCGAAGATAAAGAAATGGAAGCCTAACAAAATGAGAAAGTCAAGGCATATGCTGATTTGAAACAAAACAGACGTACTAAGACTTTGCTTAAGATTCATCTACTTTAAAACACCTCAAAGTCCACGTAACTTCATCCAGATGTATGCCACCCCTATATTGCTATTTTCTTTCCACCTTCCCAACAGATAACAGCCATGCAACTGGCATTTCATAGACACAAGTATTTGCTGAATAAATGAACCGTCACACACAAATAACATATGTAAATTATCTGAACATAGAGCAATCTTTCCAGCATCATTTCTCACTAGTCCCTTTCTCACAGAATCCCTCAAACCCTACTAATCTACTTTCACTTCCAGAAAGGTGCAAGAGTCCTTTCTGTCACACTTTTGCTGGTCCCTCTTCCCATAACCTGCTTCCATTCACAGTGTACCAGGCAACTCTTACTCTACCTTCGGATCTCAGCTTCAAGCTCAAAACTTCTAGAAAGCCTTTCTTGGCTCTATCATACACAAAATGTGAGTTTGGACAAGTCACTTTATTTCTCTGTGCCTCATACTCATCTGCAAAATGGGGGTGATAGCGCTTTCCTCATAAGGTTGCTATGAGAATTAAATGAGATTAATTCAGGTAAAACACCTAAAATAGTGCTTGGCGTGTAGTAACAGCTCAGTAAGGCATGGGTGTAATTGTTATTCCCTGACTCCTAAATCCAGGTTAGGAGCCCCTTCTGTTATTCCTTCTTCTTCTTCTTACTAGTATTCCCTTTCCCTACCACAGCATTTATCAAAGTGTGGGTTCTACAATGTTTTGCTAAGAAAGATGAAAAGTAGAAAGAAAAGAACTAATGAAGAAGTAGAAAGCAAAAGAAAAAGTGAGCACTCAATACAGGGATGAACAAACAAAAGAAAGTGAAAAGGAGAAAAGGGACAGGGTAGACTTCCTTAAGATATTAGTAAAATAAAGCAATTCTTGTTTTAAGGATTTCAGTAGCTTTCCTCTTGAGCCAAAAATTCTACAATAAATAGGACAACTATGAGAATCCACAGGGAGAAGTCATTGGATGGCAATGATTAGAACAATATTTTGTTATAAATCAGATGAAATAAAATCAGGAGCAAAAAGGATTTCCCATCTAATCTAGAATAAAAATCACATATAAAATTGATCTAGACTAAAGTAGGATGCACTTGTAAATTATGAAAAGATTCCAAAACATTGAAGTACTGTGGTCTCTTCCTACAAATTAACTGTTCATTTTAAAGTAATATAGGATGGCATTATGACTGAAGATAACTAATATACTCAAATTGCACCGACTACATCCCTGGCCCAGAGAAGTTAAAACAGAAGAAAGCAACAATGACTAGACTCTTCACCAAAAAAGAAATGTTTGTTTTTGCAGGTTAGCTCCACCATTTTTTTCACATTTGCATCCTAATAGTTCTACTTGGTCTCTCCATTATGCAACAGTTCTTTACAATACAGCCAGCTACCCTGACAACTGGGTTCCTTTGCCAGGGTGGCTTTGTCTAAATCCTAAAGCTGTGCTTGGCTTTGCACTGAGCCCAGTGGCTGCCTGTGATCTGAATGCCAATGAAGACTACAGACCCTGTTGTCTAACAAGCCAGAGACTAAAAGGTCTCTTTGGGGTCAACAAACTGTCTCGACTACTTTCATAAGCTTAAGAGACTGGAAAATGAAGCTAGAAATGCATCTTATTTCTTAGGAGGACAATGGGGGAAAGTATTAAACGTTTAACATTCATCAGATACTGTTAGGGCTTCAACTTTAGGGAGGTGTCTAGTAAACCTTCACATGTAAATAAAGTACTTGTTCTTTTAAGAAGGAATAAGCTTCATCTTAAAGAAAATGTAAATAAATTTTATATTATCAAATTTGAAAATGTTTAGAGAATTTATGTGCTCAAAAGTATACATAAATGTCTCCAGTCCCACTTCCCACTTAGTACTCGTTGAGGATGAACAGATAATGACACGGAAATAAAGATGGTAAACCATTACACACTGTAAAATTTAGTGTTCAGTTACAATCTAAGAAATGCAAAACTATGTAACTCTAAAGAAGCAATTAGGTAGTATATACTAAAAAGCAAACATTAAAAATGCTAAAATCCAATGGTAGAAGAATATTGTTTTAACTACATTATTTTAGTTTGTCAATAAAAAATAACATGCATTGTTTTTGCTTGTTTACATGTCTGAATCTGCCATTCCGCTACCATACATTTTCTTGTATTTTTGTGCTTGGAGGCTCCCTTTTCCTTCTTTATAACGAATTCACCATCTCTCATTTAATCAAATGGCAAATCCTATGTTTTATTTCCTAGATCACTCTCAAACCTTATGCTTTTGCCACAACCCTAGCACAGATCATGGTGATCTCTCATCTAGATTCCTATGAGAGCCTCTGAACTGGAATCTGGCCGGAGTAGTCCAATAAGACACATAATGTGACACATACATGTAATTTTAAATTTTCTAAAAGCCATACATAAAAGAGCAAAAAGAAAGAGTAAAATTTAACTGAATAATATATTTAACCAAGTATATCCAAAATATGATCATTTCAACATATAACCATAGAAAAAATTGAGATATTTTACATTCTTGTTTTTTATATCTTGAACTCAAAATCCAGTGTGAATTTTACACCTATAATATAGGTCAATTCGCACTCTAAATTTTCAATAACTTATGTGAAATGTAGTCCAATCAAAATACTAAAGTTAAAGGAAAACATATTGTTTAAAATTTTAAGTTAAATTTTTAAATCAAAATTAACAAAAATGTAAAACTCACTCCTCATCACACTAGTTACCTTTCAAGTGCTCAACAGCCACTTTGGCCCATGGCTACTTTGTTGAACAGTACAAATGTAGGTCTTCAATTTTTGCCTCTTCTAACCTAGACTGAACATATTCAAAAACAGAGATCATTCACATCATCTTATGGCTTTAAAGCCCCTCAACCACGTCCTGCTGATCTGACAAAACCCAAGTGCTTACACAGGTTTTGCAACCTAGGCTCCCTCCTCCTTTTCCAGCCTCAGCTATCTATCTCCATTTTCCCCTTACACTCTGTTCCCCAGATAAACAATGCTTTCCCCAAATCCCGGAACATGCTGAACTTTGTCCCCTTTGGCATGTGCTGCTAGTCCCTCAGGTTTCAAATTAGAAATCACTTTTTCTTTTTAGAGCCCTTTCTGTTACACAGCACAAGCTCTTGTGAGGGTAAGAACTGGATCACTATTGCTCATTATTGTATCCCCAGCATTTATCAAAATGCCTCATATTTTGTAGGCACTCAAAAAATATGAATCAATCCACAGAGTAATCTTAGCTGCCCAAAATAGGCCAAAGGCATGTCCTCATGTCAACACATGTGGCCGGAAGAGAAGGGTCTTCCTGGGAGCTCATTACATGGTTTTACTATCACTAACCAAAAAATGAGAGAAACTACGCCAAAATTAGCACCAAAACACTTAGACTCTCAAGTTTGGAAAATGCAGTACAAAGTAATACTTTGTGTTTTATAGGTTCTTTTGAGTCCACTGGAAAGGCAGTATACCTGAGTAACAGAGTAAATTCTAGTGTCAAGGGACTTGTGAGAAAAGCGTTTGCCCCCCTTCTTACAAGGAGAGCTCATTAGTATTATTTCAGGTTTCTTTCTCTCCCTTTACTCCCTCTAATTCTGGTAAGATGGAGTATTTTAATCTGGTGAAAAACTGGTGAGGAAAAATCCTTGGTATGCAGGATTCTGCTGGGCCCCTTTTCTTCCTGTTGAAACTAGTAGGCTGCAGAAAATGCAAATGTGTCTTTTTCCTCTATGCAAGAGATCAGCAAACTACAAAAGGCTGATGCCTATTTTTCTAAATAAAGTTTTATTGGAACACTCATTAGCTTACCTGTTGTCTATGGCTGTTTTCTTGCATCACAATCACAGAGTAGCTACAATTGCAACAAAAACCATAAAGATCCCTGCTCTATGGCACTGTCTTATTTATATTACCTGAAGAGTGCTTGAAAAAGTTGGCCTGGTTCTGCAATTCAATCAGCAGGTCATTTGGCTCTCAAACTCAGACCTCCACTTGGACTTTTATCATTAGTAGGTACGTTCTGGCCTCTATCTTTACTCTTCATTTTGTATCTGGTATTGTACAAAGGCCAGGTAGGAAAGAATGACTTATGCCATGACCTCTAGAAACCCCAATCCTTCATCTACATAAAATTTCCAGGCATGTTTATTAAGTTCTAGGGTATAAAATTTCAGGGGAGGGGTCTCATCAAATATTTGTTCAAGCTATGAAATACCTGGAAATCTGATTTTTGAAGAAGTGTTAGCCCTACATCTGGGAAATTTATATCATTAATGTTAACTTCATCACATATATAACTGTATGTTCCATATATCGTCAATAAAGAACACTAACAGTATAAACTCCAGCCTAGTTCTTCAAAGACTTTTAGTATTTTCATGATAGGACCTTTGTTTCATGCAAGCACGTACCTGTATTCTGGGCAGAAATTTTGTTAGTCTTTGTTGATTTTTGTTTCCTTGTTTCTCTGTTTCTCTCTCAAAACAAATCCACATTACCCAAAAAGTGACACTGAATCACCCATTTCCAGTAACACTAATAAATAATTATTCCAATACTTTATTAAGAAGCATTCACCTTTTTCTCATGCCAATGTTTTTAAAAATAGAACTTTTTTACAGTGACCATTCTATCATACATATTTGTAAAAATATACATGTAAGAATATTAATCTTGGCAATAACTATAAGGAGTTAAAGAGAGGGAATCAAGATTTCCCTTGTAAGTTTATAAGACATAGTCCAACAATAATCTTATATAAGCTATTTTAATTAGGTCAATGAGAGTGTTGCATATTTTCATAACATGCTTTTTATTCATTTCAATTTCTTAACCAGCTTTGTTCCATTTAAGATCATTTCCTTGCGCTAAACATCTCACATTTCCAAATTTCCTATAATAAAAAGTTGCTTAAGTAATTTAATAGAACAAGACTAGCAGACATGATAAAACATAAAATACTTCCTACCTTGGTACAAACTCAGGCTTACTTTTGGTTGCTGGGAATTCTAAAATGAAACCAAGAAACAGCTTTTCCAAAAAATTACTTTTGTGCAAAGAATTAGAAATTAAACATGAAAAGGACTTTATTTTTCTCAATATTTTTATTCCAATTAGACTATGAGTAATCTGTGTATTAACAGTATTCAAAAAAATACCTGTAAACTACAGTATTTTTCCATAATCCTCAGTTTGTGATAGGCCATTCTGAACCCATGAGTTTCTCATCCACAGATTCAAACAACTACAGATAGAAAATTAAAAAAAAAAAAAAAAAACAGTAAAAAATAACAATAGAACAATATATGCAAATGTTACACCATTGTATATAAGGGACTTGAGCATCCTTGGAATTTGGTATCCACAAGGGACCTAGAACCAATCCCCTGTGGATACCAAGGGGCCACTATGTCTGTGTCATATGCCTCTCTGATAGTTACCACCTTTCTAAATTGAAAATTTTTTTAAAAAAGCAAAACTAGTTAAAATCATTTTAATGTTATAAAAAGAATCGGATTTTATGTAAATAATAAATATACTCAGAGGTCAGGCATGGTGGTTCACACCTGTAATCCCAGCACTTTGGGAAGCTGAGGCAGGCGATCACCTAAGGTCAGGAGTTCAAGACCAGCCTGGCCAATATGGCGAAACCCCGTCGCTACTAAAAATACAAAAATTAGCCGGGCATGGTGCTGGGTGTCTGTAATTCCAGCTACTTGGGAGGCTGAGGCAGGATAATCACTTGAACCCAGGAGGTGGAGGTTGCAGTGAGTCGAGACGGCACCACTGCACTCCAGCCTGGGCGACAGAGCGAGACTCCATCTCAATAAATAAATAAAACTCTGATAATCAGAAACCTTAAACATTTCTTTTTGTGAAAGTTTTCTTCTCATTTGGTAGAATGATAAAACAAACGTTTGTCCTTTTTCATTTTCCCATCATAAACCGATTTCTCCTCATAAGAATATTCTCCAAACCCTAGTCTTTTTTAAAAGCAGCACTCTCCTCACAAAAAATTATGGGCATAAAAATACTTCAGGGGCTCCAGGGTATCTTTTTTTTTTTTTAATGTGTAGACCATTTACGAAAATGAAACTCTGTTAGGTTACTTAACATTGACTGCAACAACAAACACTAGCTTATTACATAAACTTTAGAACATGTACATGTTCACCACTGCAACAGAAGAGGTCAGAAGGAGGTAGCTCTTAACTGACTCAGGCCAAAGTGACACATACTATTTTCACTCCCAATTCACTGGCCAGAAATTAGTCACATAGATCCAAAGGAAGTGCACGGAAGGCTCGAAAATGTAGGAGCACATAGAAAAGTTGGTCTCCATCTCAAAAACAGCTCTAAAATACTGCTCAAGAATCTTCCAAACTCTGTGTTCAATGATAAGGTTGTAATTGGCCGGTAAACCTAAAATTAGGCAGATCAACTTTTAATTATACCCTCTACAATGCCTAATAATTTTACCCTGGAAGAAAAACTTTGTATATAAGGGACTTGACCATCCTGGCAAAGAAATTTCCTGGAGAAGACTTCCCTGGAAGGAAAAACCACTGTTTGTTTAAAACACTTCATTTTTTCTAGTCTTGTTTTCAAAAATACTATGAATAAATAGTCTTAATAACACTCAGAAGGTAGCATTTGAAATCAATTCCATGGTTTGAAATACATAGTTTTATTAAGGAAAAAAATATTTTCAAAGAATTTCACAACTTATCAAATACAGAGATAGACTGAATGATTATGCCAAATGTTTTAGAAAATAACTAATTTACAACAGCCCTTCTTAACATAGGAAAGTTTAATATTTTAAAATGCAAGTGTCATAAAATTTTTTTAGTACTCCAAATGAATAGTAAATATATGAAAAAGAGTTCTACTTCATTAGTTATCAGGGGAATACAAATTAAAACCACATTACTGGCCAAGGTTGATGCTACACCTGTCATGCCTGTAATCCCAGCACTTTGGAAGGATTGCTTACACCCAGGAGTTTAAGACCAGCCTCAGCAACCATAGGAAGAGGCCCATCTCTACCAACAATATCACCAAGTGTTGGTGAAGATATAGAACAAATGAAACTTACAAACTGCTGCTGGAATATAAAGAATAAACACTTAAGGAAAGCATCTAGCAGCATCTACAAAAGTTGAACATATGCACGTTCTATGATCCAGCAGCCCCACTTCTAGGTACATAGCCAACAGAAATGTGTATGTATGCACACCCAAAGACATACAGCCAAAATGTAAAAACAAAACAAATCCAAAAATAGAACAGATAAACTAGGGTCTAGTCATGCAGTGGAAATATAATACAGCAATGGGCCTGAATGAACTGTTAGTACAAACAACAACATCAATAAATCTCACAAATAAAATTTTGAAAAAGCCGCCATATGATTTCATACTCAAAAGCAGGCAAAACTAATATATGCTGTAGAAGTCATCCTGTTTGCTTGGTGGGACATAGTGACTGTAAGGGTAGAGGAAGGGAAGGCTTATAAGGTAGTGGTAATATTGTTTTTTAAATATAGGTGTTACATGGTGTGCTTACTTCATGAATATTTACAGAGCCGTATTCTTATGATTCTTTCACTTTTATGTATCTCATACTTTAAGAAAAAGTTTACCTTAAAAAATTATTGGCCGGGCGCGGTGGCTCACGCCTGTAATCCCAGCACTTTGGGAGGCCGAGGCGGGTGGATCACGAGGTCAGGAGATCGAGACCATCCCGGCTAAAACGGTGAAACCCCGTCTCTACTAAAAATACAAAAAATTAGCCGGGCGTAGTGGCGGGCGCCTGTAGTCCCAGCTACTTGGGAGGCTGAGGCAGGAGAATGGCGTGAACCCGGGAGGCGGAGCTTGCAGTGAGCCGAGATCGCGCCCCTGCACTCCAGCCTGGGTGACAGAGCGAGACTCCGTCTCAAAAAAAAAAAAAAAAAAAAAATTATTATACATAACAGAAATAGACTCTCTTGATTGATCACATTTTACACCACCAACTATTAGTTCCAGTATTCTTTACTATGTTCAGTGGTAATTTCTGAAATGGCTATTCTCATCACCATGAGGGGATCTCATTTGTGATCACTGTATTCATGAGTCCTTGGCTCATTAAAAAAAAAAAATTGTTTTAATTTCTCAAAAAGATGTTCTTTTACAAGTAATGGGGGAGATTTTAAATTTTCCTGTTATGATCTTACTGAAGCTCTCAGTTCTAAAATAAAAGTAGGCTGGGGGCAGTGGCTCAGGCCTGTAATCCTAGCAGGATTTTTTTGGGGTGGGGAGGCTGAGGCAAGAGGATCACTTGAGCCCAGGAGTTCAAGACCAGCCTGGGCAATATGGTAAGCCCGTCCTCTACGGAAAATTTAAAAATTAGCCCGGCGTGGTGGTGTGCACCTGTACAGTCCCAGCTACTCAAGAGGCTGAGGTGGAAGGATTACTTGAGCCCAGGAGGTTGAGGTTGCAGTGAGCTATGATCATGCCACTGCACTCCAGCCTGGGCAACAGAGGGAGATCCTGTCTCAAAAATAAAATAAGAGTATTGGGCATATCAATTTTTAAGAAAACGAGATATGATGTCAAAATTATTTATTTTAAAATGATCAGAGCATACTAAAAACATGTATGGATTTAGAGATGATTTTGGTCAATCCTCCTTATTTTACAAAAACAGGAAAAGTGATTTGCCCAGGGTCACAAAAGTATGTGGTAATAGATGATATTAGTCAGTACTCAGCTCTCTGGAATGAGAATTTGTCCCTATTCCCTTTAAACCAAGCTTGTCCAACCTGTGACCCTCAGGCCACATGCAGCCCAGAACAGCTTTGAATGCGCCTCAACACAATTCACGAGCTTAAAACATTATAGGATTTATTTTGATTTTTTTTTAGCTCATCGTGTGGCCCAAGACAATTCCTCTTCCAATGTGTCCCAGGGAAGTCAAAAGACTGGACACCCCTGCTAAACCATTCTGCTGCTCATTTTATCACTGGCACTAGGAATGGAGGTTTTATTATGCAAAGGAATTTCCGATACATGCCTTTGAAGTTGGATTTAATTAATTCAAGACACATAATTATATAAAGTGAGCATCTGCAGTACCCGTAGTATTCATCCTGAAAATAGTTTCCAAAACTCAATGCATTCAGAACTTCAAAAAAATTAATGTAGCAAAATCTGCATTAACTCTAAAATTCAGCTTTAATGCAGGTATCAAAAACTTCAAAAAAACAAATTCCCTATGTGGAATCAAAAAGATCTTTCAGGTTCATTCGATGATTTTTTACTTTGCTTTGTTTCTGTTTCCATTTAGCCCTATTTTAATGCTTATTTTACTAAACTCAAACATAGGGAGTACTTTATTTTCTAACATGTTTGTCTCCGTATGTTTTTTTCAATAATTTAACGTCCATTTCTAACTTGCCTATCAGTCCCAGGTCTTTTTAGATCTTTCTCAATTATGGTTGTTATTTTCATAATATCTAAATCATATCATATGTAATTGTTCTATTAAAATGTATTCTGTCTTTACATTTCAATGAGCTAAACATGCTTTATCTTGAGTGATAAATGTTTTTTCCCCTAAATAATACCAACATAAGCCTATACTTGATACAGCCAGTTAAAGTTAGAACAAAAACTTTAGAGAAAATTTCTGGTCAATTAGTGTGTCACTGAGTTAATGAATCATTTAATTACCACTTGCTTGGGTTATTTGTCCCCTCACTTTATCAATAAAGAACACAGTATGACATAAGAAACTTCCAAGTTTGAACTAAGTCACAGCCAGGACCTCTGATTTCTAATGTACCTGAAACTAACATACTCTACAGAAAAGATGAGGGGTCTCATAACCTCTGCATATTCAATGCTTTCATATTCAATTGTTTGTTTTTAAAGAAATTAGTTTATTAGAGACAGAGAGAGAACGAATCTTTCCCTTGATAATCTCCACTAAACTTTATAAATATGCTTAGAATGGAAATGAATGAGAAGAAACAGAGGATGAAGGAGACATCAGAAATTTTCAGCCCTGTGTTTTACCTCTGGAGAATTCTTATTGTCATGAAGAACATGAACATGGGGGGTGGGGGGCAGTACAGGAAAGGAACAACTGCAAGCTGCCATGCTGAGTTTAACAACAATCATCAAAAGGGGCTTTGGGAGCTCACCAGCTGCAAAGTTTTTGTATTAGGCTGTGATTCCATTGGGAGGATGGGAGCCCCTAAATAATGATGTCAAAGGGGTTTTTACATGCCCAGGAAGCTATTTCAAGCAAACAAAAATCTACATTTATTCCTAATGGAGGTTAAGGCCTTTGGGGATTAGAGATAGAGAGTGTAGATGGCTATTATCTAAATAAACTTACTGTTCCTAGCACAACAAAGGAATATATTCCTAAAAAGAAATATAGGATATTATTTTCACCGTAAAACTGCAAAGAAATGAACACTTTTTCCAAGAACAAACAAAAATGTCAGAAGTTTCATTTTGAAAGTTATACGGCAAAGTGAATTTGAGAATTAAAAGGGAATTAGAGGATAATTTCAAGAGGAATTTCATTAACGGAGATTTCTGCATCATATTTTCATGCTTTTTTTATTATAGAGTGTAATTCTTAATGACTGCTTCAACAAAATTTGGGGAAAGTAAAATTACATTGCCATTGCTGCTAAGTTGTAACTGACCTTCTCTCTTGTACTTGTATTCTACCCAGTACAGCCCAGTAAATGCAGCATGTTCACGTTCACTTGTCCAAAGCAAAATGACTTCTTTCCCAAGACACAATGAA